>NC_000001.11:206517920-206669435 GCF_000001405.40 Homo sapiens | reverse complement strand
AGACCAACCTGGACAACATACAGAGACCTCGTCTCTATAAAATATAAAAATCAATTAGCTGGGAGTGGTAGTGTGTGCCTCGTCCCAGCTGCTCCGGGGGTGCTGAGGTGGGAGGATTGCTTGAGCCCAGGAGATCAAGGCTACACTGAGCTGAGATCGTACCATTGCACTCCAGCCTGGCCAACAGAGTGAGACCCTGTCTTAAATAAATAAATAAATAAATAAATAAATAAATAAATAAATAAAATTTCCTCCAAAATTATGGTATTTATCAAGGGAAAAATATTTCCCAGAGAACTTCAGTTGGCTTCCCATAATGTCCCATTGGCCAGAAGTGGGTCACATGCCCACTCCTAAACCAATGGCTGCACAAAAGAACCAGAATGTTCCCCAGGTCGGGGAGGAACCAACCTTCCCCTGGCACTTTGCTACCCACCTGCTGAACCAGGTATGGGTTCTGTCACAAGGAAGGAAAAGGGGGATGGGTTTTTGGTTCTGGTATTGTTTTTTAGAGAAAGAAGCTTCAACTGGGTTGTCCACGCTGGACTCAAACTCCTGGGCTCAAGGGATCCTTCGGCCTGAACCTCCCAAAGTGCTGAGATTACAGACACATCATGGGGCCCAACAAGCGAGGGGGATGGTTTTGAGTAGGGAACAGCATTTGCTCCATTTCCACTCAAGTGACACTTTCCCCTGTCTGTAACATCTTTAAGTATTTCTTGCCTGCTGTCCTGCCTCTTCCTGACACCTGCCTGGTTTCCTCTTGTTCCTTTCCTAGCAAACTCAACTGCAGGAGCAATTTAACTATACTTCCTGTCTCCACTTCTTCAACTCCTGAGCACTCAACTCTTCTGAAATTCGGCTTTTGCCTCGGCCACTCACTCCTCCTATCTCCTTATCTTAGCTCACCATCTCAGTTTAGATCTCTCTGCTGAATTTCACACTTTGCCCCAACCCTTCCTTCTTCCTTCAAAACTCTGTCCTGGGCCTCTTTGCAGCACAGGATCCCTTGATTATCAGGACCTCACACTCTGAATTCTACTTCTCCATCCTTGCCCACTTCTCCTCAGTTTCCTTCAATTGCTCTTCTCCCCAACCTCCCTCTAAAGTGTTGAGGTTTTCCAGGGCTCCTCCCTTGACTGTCTTTAGTAATCATTTTATACAATTTCCCAGGCTTCAACTACCAGCTAATCTACACCCGTGACCCCCAAATTTACAAATTCAACCCAAATACTTTTCTTAAACTCATACCCATAGTGGACTTTCACTACTATTTTCAGACAGCTTAAGTTCAATATCTACAGAACTGACTCTATCTACACTGTACACACACACATACACCCTCCTTCATCCTGCCACTCAGAGAAGGTACCACTCTCCATCTGGTTGCCAAAGGCTGATGCTGGTAGTCAACCTTGACTCCTCACTGTCTCTCACCCCCAATAATCAATTACAATTCCAGCTAATGTCACCTCCCCACTGTTCCCTTCTCTCCATTCTCATGCCACTGCCCTGCTTCAGGCAATCACCAGCTTCCATCTGGATTATGGCACCAGCCCCCTGATTGCTTCTGGTCTTCCCCTTTCCAATCCCTTCTCCCAATATCACCCCAATAATTTTTTAAAATGCAGATCTGATCATTTGATTCCAGGGGGCTTAAAAATATTTGAATAGCTCTGCAGAGCCTAGAGAAATGGGCCGAACTCCCTAGAGTACATGGGACTCTTCACAGTCTTGACCCCTAAGTCATGAACACTATTTATATAAACTGTAAGTGTTGTGTAGATTAGATTGAGGAGGGGACAAATGGTGACTGGGATATTAGTTAAGAGACTATTCTAAAATACTATTTTAAAATCTCTGCCATCAGATTTGCAGATTTCATAAGCTCATATTGCCCCAAAGCCTTGAATATTCATAGCACCCAATGAATATTTACTGGTTTGAAATTGAAGTGCATTCCTTTCCTCTGGGTTTTAACTTTTCCAACTACTCCACATGGTAGACAGAGTCATATATCCAACAGGGCACAGACCTTAGCCAGCTCACTTAATTTCCACAAATAATGTACTCCATGCCTTTATCTTAGAATTTGGAGGTGAAAACAAATGTGCCAAGTAATTGGAAGGAAGGGGTGGATGAAAGAGGCATTGTGAATGATTGATAATCCTGGCTATTATTAAAACCTGAGTGCCTATGACAAGCACTGTGAACTCTGTCCCAGGGGAATGTGGCCAAGTTCTTGGATTTGGAAATAGTAAAAGACATGATAGTTTCAGTTTAGTGGGTGAGAGAAGCAGCTTGTGCCAGTGATTATGCACTGGAGGCGGGGGTGGGCGGTGAGGGTGAGGGCACGGGAAGAGAGAAAGGGAACATATAATGTGCATAAGAAAACACAAATCCTGCCAGGCGCAGTGGCTCACACCTGTAATCACAGCACTTTGGGAGGCCGAGGTGGATGACCTGAGGTCAGGAGTTCAAGATCAGCCTGGTCAACATGGCGAAACCCCATCTCTACTAAAAAATACAAAAAAATAGCCGGGCACAGTTGCTCACACCTGTAATCCCAGCACTTTGGGAGGCTGAGGCAGGCAGATCACTTGAGGCCAGGAGTTCGAGACCAGCCTGGCCAACATAGTGAATCCCTGTATCTACTAAATATACAAGAGTTAGCTGGGTGTAGTGGCACACACCTGTAGTCCTAGCTACTGGGGAGGCTGAGGTAGAGAATTGCTTGAACCTGTGGCAGAGGTTGCAGTGAGCTGAGATTGCACCACTACACTCCAGCCTGGGCAACAGAGTGAGACTTTGTCCCAAAAAAAAAAAAAAAAAAAAATGAGCTGGGTGTAATGGCGCACACCTGTAATCCCAGCTACTTGGGAGGCTGAGGTGAGAGAATCGCTTGAACCCAGGAGGCGGAGGTTGCAGTGAGCCAAGATGGCACCACTGTACTCCAGCCTGGGTGACAGAGTGAGACTCCATGTCAAAAAAAAAAAAAAGAGAGAGAGAGAGAAAAGAGAAAAGAAAACACAAATCCATCCAATAAAACAGAAATTGAGGAGGCTCAATTTCAAAATACAAAGAAAGTATCATTTCCCTTTCACATTTTAACAGCATTAGAATCCTAACTTGAAAGGGCTAAGGTTAGAGTTCAGAAAATAGGGAGGATTCTCACTCTTAGGAACTGACAATAAGTGAGGCAATAGGAAAAGGAACTGGCATTTAGAAGAGAAAGTCATTTCTGGAGATGCGTCTGTGAGATTTTCTAGTAGATGGAAGGGAGACAGAACTAACATCATGGAGCTTCTACTACTCTAAGGTAAAGTACCTCATGTACATTGCCTCATTCAAACTGCACACCATAAGGTAAGAATTGTTATTCCTATTTTGTGGCTCAACAACAACAAATGAGCCACCTACTTAGTAAGGAATAGGGCCAGCATGTGAACCCAGATCTTTCTGACCCCAAAGTGCATGTCCTTGTCAATTCATTGTGACTATGAGCAGCCATAAAGTTTCTTTTTCCAGGGATGGCAAATCTATCTGTCCAGATTCATTTATCAAACAAATCTTTATTAAGTGCCCATTATACGTCAGGCCCAGAGCTAAGCTATGGGTCGGCTCTGGTTCTGATTTGGGGAGAGACATTCAGGACCCCTGGAGGCACCCCTCTTGCCAAAGAATTCAGCAACTATAGGAAACCGAGGAAGCCCCAGCCCCCTTCTCTGCTGTATTATCTGATTAATTCTCCTGGAGAAGGAGCCAGAACACAGTAGCCACTACTCTTGTGCCCAGTCTAGGGAGACCAGAAGGAGAGAATGCGTGCAGTTGAAAAGATAATTAGCAGTGGCTTAAGTCATAAAGAAGCTAATAGTTTCTTTATGGTTCTTTAATAGTGGCAGCCCAGTACAGCTTCTGTTGGAGATGATGAAAAAGTTCTAGAGACAGATGATGGTGATAGTTGCACAACATCGTTAATGTACTTAATGCCAATGAATTGTACATGTAAAAATCATTAAAATAGTAACTTTCGTGTTGTATTTTGCCACAATAAAAAAATTGAGGTACACCTAGCAAAACTCTTGAAAATAACTTTTAAACACACAGTGCAACATTGCTCCCAAAGAATTGACCTTTCAGACCATTCAGACAACTCACCTCATTTTTGTTTTTAAGCCAGCAGTACAAAAAGAAAAGAAAAGAAGCTATAGCAAAAGCTCCACTAACTGACCTGTGGAAAGAGAGTCACAAGCATGGGCGAAGTATCTCCCTTAGGGAGAACAAGAATTTGTTCTCTGTCTTGTGTCTCACCAACAAAATCCAGCATCTGATAGACAAAGAGTCACAGTGCATAAAAGAAATGTCCGGTAAGATACCTAAAAATAAATGTCAATAATAAGACTGTTAAGTGGCAACAACAACAAATAGGCTCACGACTCCTCCCTATGTCTTTCCAGCCTGAGTGCCGTAATCACCATGTCATCCCGTCCTCCTCTGGCCATCAGCCTAGGCAGCTGGAAAGGTGACTTCCTGACCAGAATGAAAGAATCCTAGCAGCCACGAGGAGCTGAGCCTTGTGGGGTATCTCAGGACCAGGCATGGGTGACAGTGATGCTGGCTTCTGACAGGGAAGATCACCCTAGCCAGCAATGGAACTAACTGGGTCGTGGGACCAGGAAGCATCCCTCTTTCCTTGTCTGTGATTAGTGGTTCACATTGGATCTCACAGCCTCCTTGGGAGGCAGACAGTGCCTCTAGCATCATCTCCAAATTACAGATATGGAAACAGCTAGGCTTAAATAAAGAAATTCAAACTCAGATTCAGGGCACAGCGCCAATGCTTCCTCCACTGTGCCATGTTGATCCATAAAGTTGAAAGCCTCTGGCTAGGGACCATAACTGCAAACAGGAGAAAAAGAAGGAAGCTAGAAAGAAAAGGAATCACCCTGGACTCACACCGCAGGCTCCCAGTCACCTTTCAGAGACTTGGGGGAGAAATTGCAAGACCAAGTGAGGGCCAAGTAAGCTGCCCCTGTGTAATCTTATCCCGATATTCACCACCAGGGGGGGTAGTTGCTCCACATCGGTGGTCTTTCTGCGGCGCTAAGGAGGTATTTGCTAAGGGTGAGAGACCCTCAGGGCTCTAAGGGGTCTTTTTCTCTCTCCCTTGCCCGAGTGCTGCCTGCATTTGCTTAGCACGCGTCACCCTGTTTTAGATAAGGAAGGCATTGCAGAGATCATCTGGTCCCAGGCAGCTGGCAGTTCCCCCTACTCTTAAGAGCTCCAAAAATAGACTCCAGCACCTCAGTTGGCTGCTATCACAAGGCTGCCGGTGTGGTCTGTTGGCTGCCCACAGCCCTGAAACAGGAGCCGGACTAGGGCGGGTGAGCCCCAGGCGACCCTGCATTCGCCCTTGCGGAGGAAGCAGCGGTTCCTCCTGCCCTAGAGACCCTGCACAGCTGCCCCAGCACCTGCTCCCACGGCACCTGCTCCCACCCTTCTGGCCTCCTCACTGGCCATGCCGGCTCCCCTCCGTGCCCAGTGCCTGAAACCCTTGGCTTGCAAGCCCAAAGGCTGCAGCCCCTTCGTCTGCCTCTTGAGCTCCTTATTCTAAGAAGCAGCCTTGGTAGAGGTGAGCCTGGGCTCACAGAACCCCATTTAGCATCTACTCCCGCCTTCTCTTGTCCCCATGCATCTGCTCGTACTTCATTCCACCTGGCATCCTTGGAGGAATGGCTAATTAAATGGAAAAGAGCTGGCCTATTTTTTGGTGTTTTTCAGCTTAGACCTGGGGGAATTGTCACAAAATGTGGAACGAGCCCTGGGGAAACTGACAAGCTCTGGGGTTGGCTGGTTCCTCTAGGATTGGCAGTTCCTGAGTCCCACAGACTGGCTGTTCCACTTAAGGTTTCATCTCATTCTCTCGGTCGTCAAATTTGGGAATGGGGTAAAAACTGGAGGAAGGGGAAATGTCCTCCTGGGTGTTCAACCCACATTGTCCTAGAAGAGGAAATAAGCTCATTTATTTGGCCCCGTTCTTTAGTTGCAAAATCAGGATGGTAACAGATTTCAAATAACAACTGTTCTCTGGAGAAAGATGGGGATGGGGAGGTGAGGAGGTGGGATGTGGGGTGGGGCCCCGAGAGGAGCAGAGGAACAGATCCCTGTCTCAGGTCCTATTGCTTGCATTTGAACAGTGCCATCTCCTCCTAGAAAATTGCCTTTCCAAAAAGAAGCTCATTGTGTCCCTCCCTTGCATTAGAACATCTTTGGTTCCTTATTTGTCTGCTTAACTGGTGAACTCCTTAACTGGAGCTATAATATCCCTTTAAACCATCCCACAGCTTTTCCACTAGACTCAATTACTGCCATCCTAGGCTCTGGCCACCCTTAATTTTTCACCATCCTTTCTCACCTTCTTGCTGTTTCCACACATTTCAAGTCCTCTGCCAGGAATTCCCTCCTCTGCCTAGCAAGTCCTACTCATTAATGGAGTTGCAGTGCAAATATTACCTCTCTGAAGCCTTTTTTTAACACCTCTAGGAATGAGTCACTCTCTCCACTGCATTTTCCCAGAACTTTACTCGTACCTCCATTACACCTCCTACCAAACACACTTTAATCATTTCTACATATCTCTGTTCTGTTAGAATGTGAGTTCATTGAGAAGAAGAGGTGCTCTGAAGAGGTGTAGCCCAAGTTCCCAGTGCCTTTTACTTATGAGGCCGGTGAATTTTTATTGATGGATTGCTTGATTAATTAGGACATCACTCTTGGAGTTGGAAGACAGCTGTCATTCAGAGAACCCAGCAGGAATGACATTTAGGTAAACTGATCCTTCCCAGGTGAGGTGGACATAATATGTGGAGTCACATGGCTACAGTCACATGGGGATCTTTAACCATGCCTATTATGTAAAATCTCAGGGATGGAAGATCTGAAACTTGACCTTGGGGTGGATCATGTTGCTGAATGACATTCTGCTACAGTGAAGGAAAGTACTCCCAGCGCTCTGCTCACCTGTCCTCCAATCCCCTCCTCCACCCCGTCTCACATTCCCACTTCTTCCATGAAGCCTTCCCTGAACACTTCTGCTTCTGTCTCCCAGCTGGACTACCAGGTTGCTGAAAATCCATTTCTGCGTTTTATCCTTGGTACACGGCAAAATGGCTGTGCATGGTTTGTGCTCAAAAAAATGTTTACTGCCGGGTGGGTGCAGTGGCTCACTAATCCCTGCACTTTGGGAGGCCAAGTTGGGAGGATTGCTTGAGGCTAGAAGTTCAAAATCAGCATGAGCAACATAGCAAGACCCCATATCTACCAAAACAAACAAAAAAATTAGCTGGGCATGGTGGTGCGTGCCTGTAGTCTAAAGTAGCTGGGACTACAGGTGCACACCACCATGCCCAGCTAATTTTTGTATTTTTAGTAGAGACGGGGTTTCACCATGTTGGCCAGGATGGTCTCGATCTCTTGACCTTGTGATCCACCCGCCTCAGCCTCCCAAAGTGCTGGGATTACAGGCATGAGCCACTGCGCCTGGCCGTAAAGAAAAAAAAAATTAAAGTTTCTTGATGCTGATGAAATTGCCTGCTTAGGAGCATAGAGATTTGCTATATATACTCTTCGCCCCTCTGGATCCACTCTCCACCCTTCTACACTGTGCTCTGTGTGCCACGAGGATGGCATTTTTTTTTTTTTTTTTTTTTTTTTAGTGATGGGGATCTCACTATGTTGCCCAGGCTGGTCTTGAACTCATGGGCTCAAGTGATCCTCCCACCTTGGCCTCCCAAAGTGCTGGGACCGCAGGTGTGAGCCACCGCACCTGGCCAAGGATGGCATTTTTTGACTATGCCAACCAGACGTGGCTTCCGATTAAGTTAGGCCAATGGGAGGCACAGGAGTAAGATAAGCTGGCACTAGGATGAGGCCAGCACATTTATTCCCGTGATTTCTCCCCACTCTCCAGAGGTTGCAGTGCCTGCCATCCTCTACCAAAAGCCACAGCTTCTGTCAGGCAGGCAGCTCTCTCCTACAACCTCATCCACCGCTATTGCTCGCTAAGATTCCAGCAACCACTCCCTTCCTTCTGCCCCATGTGGCTATCCTGGGTGTACTTCACTGTCCCTTAGTAGTTTCCCGAAACCCTGCCCACATTTTATAAATGGTGTCTTCTTTCGACTACCCAGTTATCCTACCTTGAGGGGGATTAGATACAGTACCCTCAGGAATGTCTCTGACCCCCACATCTAGCTCCATGTTGTCAGGGCTCCCCAGATGCCTGCTTGACATTGGTGCATTGATCCCAACCTGGCTCAGAATCACATTTGTTGATTATATTCCAGGAAGTCAGATGCTTCTGCATATAGCCCAGTTCCACCTTGATTTCTTAAATTTCCCAACCAGAGAAAATGGGCATTTGTCCCCAGTGTTAGGATTAATCTCCATGGAGTCTGGAGTTCCAGAATAGTCCTTGAAATTACAAATTATACTGGTTTCCCTCCCTATATGTCCACTGTTTTTCTAGACCAATTAGATATGTAAACTTGTAGTTGGTTTTTTACAGAGGAGGGACAATTTCTCTCTTGAAAAAATTCTATTGGCCGGGTATGGTGGCTTATGCCTGTAATCCCAGCACTTTGGGAGGCAAAGGCAGGCAGATCACTTGAGGTCAGGAGTTCGAGACCAGCCTGGCCCACATGGTGAAACCCCGTCTCTACTAAAAATACAAAAAATAAGCCAGGCGTGGTGGTGCATGCTTGAATCCCAGCTATTTGGGAGGCTGAGGCAGGAGAATCTTTGAACCCGGGAGGCAGAGGTCACAGTGAGCCAAGATCATACCATTGTACTCCAGCCTGGGCGACAAGAGCACAACTCCATCTCAAAAAAAAAAAAAACAAAAAAAAACTATTATCTAGTTGAGAGCTATTGAATGTGTCCTGCCTGCCCATGCCATGGCCATCGCTCTAGCTCGGGCTCCTGGAGTTCAGGCATCTTGGGGCCTACGACAACTCCTGTTCCCTCCACTCCCCATTCCACAGCACTGTATCATCCCACAGAGCAAGTTTTCTGTCCCTTCAGGATCCCTAGACGCCCCTATCCAGCCAACCCACTGCAATGAACAGGTGTTCTGGGGGTTGCACTGGTCCAACCACAATATATGTGGTACTTTCCTCAGCAACAGGATCTGAGCAAATGAGCCTCTTGACTCAAGGTCCCCCAACATCTCAGGGAACTCAGATCTGAACAGGGAGGTCTTCAGCTTGCTGAATCCTTTAACCTAGTTCTGGAACTTCAGTAAAAAGAAGTGAAACTTCTCCCAGGAGCCTCCCACTGTCTCCTGGCCTAAATTGCCTAGAGGGCCCTGGGAGTGGGATCTGAGACATGCTGCCTAAGGGGAAACTGAGGCCTAGAAAGGAGAAGCAGCCACAGGCCTGAGTCCCAGGAGAGAGGCGTGGGAGGAGGGAGAAGTGTCTGTGTTGCTGGAGATAGGCAGATGCTAGCATTCTGAGCTGGAAGGGGTGGAGGAGGGGGCAGGAATGCATGAAGGGGGTCAAAGCTATGGGAAAGAAAAAGATATGCAATGGTGTGTGTGTGTGTGTGTGTGTGTGTGTGTGTGTGTGTGTGCGCGCGCACGCACCGGGTGGGGTGTGACGGAAACAACGGCTTTGGCCAAATTAAGATTTAGTCCTGGAACTTCTGCCAAGCTTTTTCTCCCTTCCAGTCATCTGCCCTTACCAACGTTAGGCAGTCACAGTGTCCTTACGAACGTTATCACCCTTTCCCAGTGCCCACAGCTGGAGGCTGATAGCTGGAGGCGGACTGGCACTGGGGCAAAGTCCGCCTGTCCGGCTCCCTTCCTGGCCCACTCCCTCCCTGGCCCGAATTGCCCCTGCCCACTGGGCCTCCCTGTCCACCAGGCCCTGTAAAGAAGAGCTGGCACCCTCACCCCACAGCTCCTCATGCCAGGACAGATACCTGAGCTGGGAGATCACCCGACCTCTCTTTTTAACCCGCCTCGGCTCATGTGACGGGCTGGAGTCCAGGCAGACATATGCAGGTCAGGCATCCAGGCAGGCCACACAGCGCTATTTATTTCCTACTGGGTTCTCTTCACGCAGAGCTGGCAGGGTGGGACTTTCTCATTGTATTTAAGCCCCAGCTGGCGCCACAGAACTGCCCCAGCCTCAGCCTTTGCCCCTTTTCCAACCCAGTAGGTAAAAATAAACCCATTTGGCAGCTTTGGGGAGTGGGATGGGGACTGCTGAAAAGGCGCTGTAAACACGGCAGTGGGGGCGGGGTGGGGTTGGTCGCAGCAGGGAGGGGTCATAAACCCTGGCTCTGCTGTGAACTAAAGGGACGGGTGCTTGGTCTCTCCAGCTGGGCACTCTGCCTCCCACTTCTTCAGCTGGGAAGAGCCTGGGCACCATTCATTCGCAATCTCTGAGGCAGAAGGCACTGGAGATAGTGAGTGGTCACTGGTGCTGCGGGGTGGTGGCTAGGGTAGAAAGAAGGGAAACAAAGAGAAGTAAATGGTCATGGCTAGTGAGGGACGCTTCGTCCGAATGGGTCTTTTGAGGAACACTTGGCTAGGACACTAGTTCATGTCTACCATCATATGTATCTCACTGTACTTCAATTCTTAACATGTTTGACCTTCCATTAAATATGTGTGTTATGTTTGAATAGATCCAGCACAGCGCCTGGCCCACCGAGTACACTGGGCATTTACTGAGCGACTGAAGAGAAGGCAGAGAAAGGTGGAGGCGGGGCCTGGCGCCCCCTGGGGGGAGCCCCGTGAAAGTGCAGCCGCAGGGGTTGGGGAGGTAGGACATTTCCCACCCAGGAGGCTCCCGCAGCTGTTCCCTACCAGGTTTCTAACTTTACAACTTCGACTCTGTGGTCTGGGAAATCTCCGCCTTGTGTCTCCCTCCGGCCCCGGCCCAGCTTTCCCAGCGACAGCGGCGCCTCCCCTTCTGAATGTAGTAGAATTTAAGCCTGGGACTAAATAAAGAACAGAGGAAGTCCTCTCTTTGAAATGCAGCTGCCCCAGGCCAGGTTGGGCTAGGAAGGGGTAGCAGTAGAGTGTGTGACACAGCGGTTGGGAAACAGTTGTGACTGCAGGAAGACCCACCACGGAAGCGCCTGCCCCTCATTATTTTAGCAGCATTGAGGGGAAGCACCTGTGGTCCATTGCGCTTCTTGGTCCTCCAAAGAGCTCTGAAGCCTCCTCCCTCTCACTCATGCCACTTTGCCTGGACATCTCGCTGGCATTTTACAGCAACTAGTGACTTCAGTTCCAACGGGAAAAGGGATGAATGAAGAGTGTTTGCTGAGAGGGGAATGGAACCAGGACAATGTGGGACGCTGGCTCAAAAACTCGGGTGAAAGATCTCAGGGATGAGGTTTCTGAATTCATCTCGTGTATTCACCTCAGTCTCAAGTCTCTGGCTGGGATTGTTGGTGGGACAGAAGTAAGCAATGTTGTTTTAGCAACCAGAGAAAACAGCAACGCAGCCAGCTACTTGTTGAGGGAAATGAGGGAATCGGGGAAGAGAAGTGGGGAAGAGAAGTAGGGAAGCCTGGTCTGCTGGTTCCTCCTCCCCTGCAGATCTCAGGATGGCTAATCTGGGATAGAATCAGTTTGATGAGGGAGCAGAAAAAGCCAAACCCCTGATCTGAAATCATGGCAGAGAAACCTGAAGGGTAACCCCATTTCATCTTCAACGTCAGAAACGGAGGGTGGTGAGAGCCAAGTTGCTACTGGATAGCATGTCTTCCATGCCTTTCATTCCTACCATCTTTTCTCCTCCACCTTCAGCTCAGGACACAAGCCCCTTACTCTATACTATGCACAGACTCAGAGAACATTCTCTTCTGAAACTATCTCCCCTCCCCATCCCATTCACTTACAGAGTTACACAAATTTTAAACCAGAACAGAGTGCAGATAACTTGCTGGCAAGTTTTCTCTAAAGCCATGGCCTAGCTTTTGTTAGATTCTAAACATATGGTCAACAATGCTGCTGACGCTCCCTATCCTTGATAAATGCCATTAGGGTGCTTTTTTTGCACACAACAGTTGCTCAAGTCACTGGTGAAAGAATCAATGCACCAACAAAAGCCTATATAGACATGCTTGAGAACAGCAAAAGTGAGTGCAGCTTGGGTCAGGGCTCCACCCTGGGAATGATTAAGAATTCTCTGCAGTGGTTCAGATTGGGTGTCCTGGATCTGCTCCTCAATCAGGAGATCATCAACAGCCAGATTCAAAGGCAGGGCTGGGCAGCCTCTGCAAAACGAGGTCAAATCATGTCCAGGCTCACTCTACTGGAAGGTCAAGGTCAGTCCTTAGCATCTGCACAGACTAGCTGCAGTCACTTTATGTTTCTGCTTTTGGACTGACAAATTCCTTCCTAGAAAGTAAAAAGCAATGGGCAATGCACTAGTAGCCCTCATTGCCATTTTCACTGCCTTTTCTACGCGCTGATAGTTTTTGTCTTAAAAGGCATAAAGAGCCATGGGAGTATCCTGGTTTGTGGTGCCTTTGATCATGGGGTTTTTGTTGTTTTGTTTTGTTTTCGAGACAGAGTCTCCCACTGTTGCCCGGGCTGGAGTGCAACCTCGGCTCACTGCAACCTCCGCCTCCTGGGTTCAAGCGATTCTCCTGCCTCAGCCTCCCGTGTAGCTGGGATTACAGGTGTGTGCCACCACATCCAGCTAATCTTCTGTATTTTTTGTAGAGACAGGGTTTCACTGTGTTGGCCAGGCTGGTCTTGAACTCCTGACCTCAGGTGATCCACCCGCCTCGGCCTCCCAAAGTGCTGGGATTACAGGCTTGAGCCGCCGCACCCGGCCTGATCATGGGTAAATTTTAACAGCGATATTGCAAGCTGAATTTTCTTTTAAATTCTGCCTGCTCTATAATTCCGCTAGCAGCAATTAATGTCTCCAACCTGGAGTTGCTCCATGTGAGTATAGGAAGGTCCATGTCTAGCTTTAGGCTGGGGTCCCATAAGGCAGAAACCCTGTTCAAGAATCCAGGGAAAGCTGAGAACAGTGGCTCATGCCTATAATCCCAGCACTTTGGGAGGCTGAGATGGGCAGATGGCTTGAGGCCAGGAGTTCGAGACCAGCCTGGCCAACGTGGTGAAACCCCATCTTTACAAAAAAAAAAAAAAAAAAAAAATGCACAAGCACACAAAAAATTGGCCAGGCGTGGTGTTTCATGCTTGTAATCCCAACACTTTGGGAGGCCGAGGCGGGTGGATTACCCGTCAGGAGTTCAAAACCAGCCTGGCCAACATGGTGAAACCCCATCCCTATCAAAAATACAAAAAATTAGCTGGGTGTTATGGCGCATGCCTGTGGTCCCAGCTACTTGGGAGGCTGAGGCAGGAGAATCATTTAACCTGGGAGGCAGAGGCTGCAGTGAGCCGAGATCGTGCCACTGCACTCCAGCCTAGGCAACAGAGTGAAACTCCATCTTCAAAATAAAAATAAATACATAAAATTAGCTGGGCATGGTGATACATGCCTGTAGTCCCAGCTACTTGGGAGGCTGCAGTGGGAGGATCACCTGAGGCCAGGGAGGTTAAGGCTGGAGTGAACTGTATTCGTGCCACAACAATCTAGGGGACAACTCAAGGGTGGCGGAAGGCAGTCCCTGTTAGGTATCCAATTAGCTCCTGTTGCCAGGGCAATTGTGGCTCAGGGCCAGATCAGAAGCAGGCTGGAGCAGAGCCCACAACCCCTAAGAACATTGTTTTCCTCTTTCATTTACTCAATTCCCTCAGGCTTTAAAAGTTATCCCACAGACTGGGGTCTGGGCCTAAGAAAAACACCCAAACTTCCCAAATAAACTGTATTCCTTATTGCGTGTCAGGTTTCATCCTTAAGCTGAGCTTGGGCCCCAAGAGGGTAAATGGGAGAGCTGCTGATTCGGGTTTCTGGGAGATGGTTAGCCCTGAGCACTCTACATGTTTTCCCATTTTCCTTCACAGCAAGGCTGGAGCTCACAAACCAGACTGTGAACAGAAGCTCTGGGTACTAAAGGAAGAATACTGGTGGACTCTCTGTAAGGCTGTTTCTCAGGGCAGCCTTTTCCCTTCCCAAGATTTTCTTTCTGTATCATTGTCATCAAGCAAGAGAGGCTGTACCTGCAGCACAGCCCTAATTACCCAGCGACTGGTACTCACCTCCTTCAGAGTACAGCACACAAGTTCCTGCCTGCGACAGTTCTCAGCCTTGGTTTTGAAACAATCAGGATGCTAAAAAATTCTCAAAGCAATTCATTTTTATTTTTTAAAAAACACCCCAAAATAAAAAACCACTGACTCATCCATGCCAAACTGCACTTTCCAGAGGAAGCATGTCAGCAGACTCAAACGGACAATGGACAGAATCCCATGACACCAAAGTCATTCAAACCTGATGCTTCAGAGGCTGACATTCTGAGCTGAAATAGCCACAGGTCACCACTTGGCCTGATGTGGGACTCTCCTTTCTTTTTAGTCTATTCATGTGGTGGCAGAAGATGTGAGACTCTAGTCTCCAGTCAGGGAGGCTTCTCCTGTTATAGAAAAATATTAGAGTCTAGGCTTGACTTAGCGATGGGTGGGCTATATTAAGAATCATACCCTGCTTCTTCAAAGTCTAGACGATGCATTTGTAGTTCTGGCTTCTCTCAGGGGTTGTGGATCTCAGGGACCAGAGAGAGCTTTTAGTCCTTTTATGGATGGGTTCACTGTGACTCTAAAATCTTTTCTCATTGAAATTAGCCAGCATAATTTGACAGACACTCAGAAAAACACCCTAATCATATTAGGCTGAAGGCCAGGTCTGGAAGTAAATTCTTTAAAAGTTTGGGCTTCAGGAAGGATAGGTTGAAGGTGAAAATGGAGTATGTTAAAATGGGGATATTAAAAATATATTTAAAACTAGGAGGCTAATCCCTGGCAGAAGAGAACTCTTCTTTGATTTGCCAATCCCTGGCCTTTTCTTACTCCTTATTTGTACTGACTCCAGGTTTTCCATAGCATGAATGCCTGCCGCTGCTCTACGCATAGTAAGTTATAGCGTTCTACAGATTGGTCATCTAGACCGAAGACACGGAGGAAAACATGTTCTGGCAATTCTACCTGGCTCAAGGTGTAAGTATGTATTTTTAATTCTCAGAGGAGAAAAAGCATTACAGAGGCAGTCTAGAACAATCATTGTCACCTTTCCAACTTCCGTGTTGATGACATCAATAACAGATGGAAAAGAAATAATTAAAAATAAAGGAGAAAGAGTTTTCCATGATTCACCAAAGTAGTAGGAGTATTCTGTCAGGAAAGCTTAGAACCATTTATCAGCTGCTACCTAAAATTTAGCATTTAACTTTAATTATGCCTAGTTACGAATTAAGCAAAACAGAAAGTGTTTTAACATGACCAGCTGCTACAGATTGAAATAGTTTCACAGTAGAAATTTTTATTTTTTTATTGTTCTTTTTTGATTATGCAATAAGCCCCCTTCTTAACAGATTGTCACAAAAACTAAATTGTAATGACATTAGCCAGCTAACCTGTCTGCCCCAACTCCCTTAAACACCAAGGAATAAAGCATACTAATATGGTCATAAGTCAAACTTCCTCTGGGAAAGAAGATCCAGGCTAGACTCTTTCAGAGCCCCTGTGGGGCAGAAGCAGAATCCTTACATCATAGTTAGGTTTTGGTGGTATTCATTTTTTTTTCATTATTATCAAGGTAACTGTATCTAACACTGGACCAGAAGAAAATGTCCTTAATCCTTATCTCATTACCCTTTCCCAAAAAGAAGACATCAGAGATTGTGTGGGTCAACTTAAAAGAAGAGGCGAGCATGCTCCTGGTTCATGGAAGGAAATGAGCTTCCATCATCTGCACATGATCAGCGGGCATCAAAATCTGTTAATTCAGAACAATATGAAGACACACTCCCATTTGAAGCTTACTTTCTAATCTAAGGAGAAATCATGATAGCACATGATGAAAGAGTACATCAATAACTCTGAGGGTAGATGGTAGGATAGAATACTAGAAGATGAGCAGGTATTAGGTGGATTAGCCAATTTTCCATATTGAAAGAAAAAATGAGGCTGGGCACGGTCGCTCACACCTATAATCCCAGCACTTTGAGAGGGTAAGGCACATGGATCACTTGAGCCCAGGAGTTCAAGACCAGCCCGAGCAACATGGTGAAACCCCCTCTCTACAGATATACAAAAAATTAGCCAGGCATGGTAGCACGTGACTGTAGTCCCAGTTACTCTGGAGGTTGAGATGGGAGAATCACCTGAGCCTGGGAGGTTGAGGCTGCAGACAACACTGCGCCACTTCACTCCAGCCTGGACGACAGAGCGAGACTCTGTCTCAAAAAGAAAAAATAAAGAAAAAGAAAAAATGACTTGGGGAATGAAATAAAAATTCTAACCCAACTCTCACCGTGTCAGAAACAACTTGGAAATTAAAATTTGTCAATTTAGAACTCAGTAAGTCACCTAACCTAACCAGTTTGACTGAAATGACTAGAAGAAAAATGGCTAAAGAACAATCCAGTAACTGAGGAAGAGACAGTCTGAATTTCTGTACTAACTCTGATCCAATTCAGTCACTCATTGCTATGGCTGGGCAGGGATCCAAGTGAAACTTTTAACAGTGGCCAATAAGGTGGCATAGAGTTACTGCCTCTAAAAACCACAACTTGTCCCTAAGCTTGAAACCCAACCATAAACTTCCTCAAATCCATGTGGACGAGCACCATGTTTTTAAGCAGCCCACTCTCCTCAAACTTGAATTGGCCTGCAGAAGACAGGTATGCCAACTTCAATGACTCTGCTCTGCATCACTCTCTCGGTTGCCAAATTGAGGCAGAAACATCCATTTGCCTTCCTGTAGCTTTCTAAAATCTGTCTACAGTGTAATGAGTTGTCTATACACTTTCCCTTAGCCCAGTTTCAGTAACCTTGTAGTCCATTCGATACACAGAAATAGAGCACGCACCAACCTCAGCCACAGGCCCCTTTCTCTCCCAAGTTCAGGCACAGTACTGGCTAGAACTCTCACTAAAAACACAAACACCAAAACACAGTGTACATCAGATGCATATGGGGTAGTAATGCTTTTAACAGTTTGCTTACAGGAGCAGTTCTTCAACACTGATAACAACTGGCAAAACAACCTCAACATATGCTCTGCCTAGATAATGCAGGAGATCCTTAAATTTCTCCAAGTTAGAAAATTCAGGACAACAGCAATATGGTGTTAGAGACTTCAGATCTGTGTCAATCAGATATAGCCTTGCTGCCACCTAAAGATGTGCTCGCCACCCCACACATGGCTTTAGCAGCAGTTCCAAAGGCCAATGCATTCACTCTTGGAAGACAGTGTCAGCTGTCTTGACACTGCTGCTGGCTACATTTAACCAACTCTATGATGTGGTACCAGAGCCCAAGAAATACATCAAGCCAGATCATTCTGTCCAAACATCCCAAGGAAACATGTGCCTTGGACAGCACCTGAGTGGGAACAGGCTGCTAATGTTGATATAAAATGCAAAATAGTAAAAGTAGCATTTTCTCTAATTTACTATTCAGTGAGAAACCCATGCAGAAATCCAATGCAGCAAATTGTAGAGGTTCAATGCTCCCTGATCTGCAGTTAAGCCAGGTGTGCCACCTCCTTCATCTGACTTGGATCCTGCTCTGGACTTCAAGGAAACATCTACCTGGCTAGCAGTTCAAGGACTCGATATAAAAATAACTCATGCTTTGTTTCAACTGGAGGGTCATGACACTGTTGGGCCTACAGGAAAACCATTCATAAGTCAATGTAAGCTCATATCTACTGAAAGAGTAGATTTGAGTTTTTTGAGTAGATATGAGCTTTTACACCCTAAGTTACAATGAAAAGATTCACTGAAGAAGGATTCAATCATGCTGTACTACTTCCTGGAGTTGGCAGAGAAATCATCCATTTCTTGGTAGTTGAAAGAAGGCTGATCCAAGAACACAGTGAAGAGATGTTCCCATTTCTCAAGGTGTTTCATCTTCCTGGCCATGATGATTTAGCACCTGCAAAATTCCCAAACCTACGCAATGTGGTTAATGCGGGGAAGCAGACATTGGACTACCAACTTCCAAAGAGTCACTATCTCGACTAGCAGATCATGAGGTAGATGAGGCAGTTTCAAGACCTCCCTTGAAGAAGGCAGTGATGAATAAAGAAGAGGAGGATGGGTTATGAGCAGCATTTAGTGTGACATCTGAAGAGATCAAGATGCCACTATCAGACAAGAAAACCAATAACCAGACTAATTTCACACAGCTTCTTCAGGCAATGGAATCAAGAGATAGGATGCAGACTTAGAAAAAAAGAAAGAAAATTCAGCAGGAGTTAGAGGGATCTAAAGGAGTTGTATATTTATTGCCTTCTGTAAACCAGGAGTAAAGGAGATAATTAAGGTTTTAAATAATCCAGTTTCTTAGTCACCAAAAGTACCAAGACTTCCTCCTATTAATGAGGCTGAAGGCTCAGTTTAAGCTGTTCTCTGCCATCTGGCCCTTGTACTTGGGAGACTAAAGCCACTGTGGACATTTAAATGAGAGAGATTTGCACTCTCTCATTTTTCACAGCCTATGCTACAGCAATCATGACTACTTTTGGATAAAACAAAAGTTCCTTAAATAATATACTCATGGCATTTTTATTTTCTTTTCTTGTTCCTACACTGCCCAACAAAAAGAGTCTCTTCCAATGTCATTGAGTTTGCACCACATTCTAGAATAATAAATGGAACTGGATCATTCTGAGAACTATATTGTAAAAAGCAAATATTCTACTTTAAAGAACACACTTTTTTTGGTTTGTTTTTTAGACAGAGTCTCACTCTGTTGCCTAGGCTGGAGTGCAGTGGCATGATCTCAGCTCAAGTGATCCTCCCACCTCAGCCTCCCAAGTAGCTGGGATTACAGGCATGTGCCACTAGGCCTGGCTAATTTTTGTATTTTTTGTAGAGGCAGGGTTTCACCATGTTGCCCAGGCTGGTCTTGAACTCCTGGGCTCAAGGAATCCACCCACCTCAGCCTCCCAAAGTGCTGGGATTACAGGCATGAGCCACTAATACCCAGCCAAGAGCACACATTTAGGATAGAACTTGAGCATACTTTTGTTCTGGAAGAGGACAGAAATAGAGCAAGGGACAGGAAACAACAAACAAAACCCAGTAGCAGTGAGTTAGCTTCTGTCCCGTCTCCACCCTTGTAAGTAGGACACTGGCTTAACAATTAGTTTTATTATCAGCCCTCACTGTTTAAATCTTAGCAGAGAAAAAGAAAAGCTGTTGAAGAGAATAAAATTAAGAAACATAAAAAGGGAAAACTTGATTATCACCAGTTTCTGGATTTTTAGTTTTCTTCTTCTAACTGAAGTTCACTCAGATCTAGGGAATAGCATTAAGCTTAACGTGAAAGTGGGGGGAAAAATGTGGCACATTGAAGTGGCAGGTAGCTGTAAAGAGAAGAGGGAAGCATTTTTAAACTGTAGTAAGGTTTATCCGAGAGTGATTACTTTTATAAGGAAGAGATTCTATGAAAATGCAGCAAGGAGGCTGGTCCGTGGAGTACCACAAAGCTGGGGAACTGCAGTTTTCATGCTGATTCTCTATCTTTACCACTCTGGGTCAATTGTGGCAGAGAAGCTGTTTTATCTTCCTTGGGCATGGGAGAGGAAAGGAGGAGGGATGCATATGACTCAGTTTTTAAATCAGTACCTTACAGGGTTATTTAGTAAAGTGGTAAGGCTTCTGTAAAATGCTTTGAGTGACTAGGAAACAAATCAGAGGCAAAATAACAACATAAAATAATAACACCAAACATCAGAGAACTGAAGGGAAGAGGAGCGAGTCACTGAAAACCAGGGACACCAGTTGTCCAGGTCACCAACAGCTTCCTGGTGCTCCCCCACCCCACAGTCTGCTGTGAGCTCTTTCACCTAGAATGAGCCTAGAGAATGGCCTAGTGGGGCAAGGGACCTAGCACTGGCTCTCAGCCACAACTAACACCACATCCCAAATTACCCCTCCAGAACAGATGCCGAGGGACACTAGAAGCGAGGAGTAGTTGGGATACTTTTGCTACACCTTCTATCTTGAGAGAAAGAGATTTAAACCAATAGTATAATACATCAGTTGAAATACATCTGACGATAATAACAAAGATGCATTGACCTATAAAAAGTCATTTAATGCATATTCCAGATGGCCAATACAAGCTGGTTAGGTAATTAGCCCTTGAAGAATTCTTTTATAATCATATAAAAATGTTTTGTCTTGTTTAAAAAAAGTCTACTCTAACAAAAACATCCACCAATGGGCTTGCATTTTTTCCATTTGCAGGTTTGTAAGATCATAAAAATATACACATATGCATCTCTGGGCATATCTCTGTCCACTAGCTAATCAGTTTTGGCAATACACTGCATAGGGGTATACTACCATTGGTTTCTGACATTAAGTTAGCTTTAAGCTTATTGGCTATTCCAACAACTGGAGGCAGCTTAGAACCCAATCCCTGGAAAGCACTTGCAGGATTAACTACCCGTTTCCCTGACACCTTGTCTATGGTGGTGAGAGGTCTGGGGACAGACTTGCTAATCCAAGGGTGTCTTAATGCTTGAGCTGGGGTCAAGCGGGCAGAGGGGTCCCAGTGAAGACACCTTTTCAAGAACTCTATAAACAAGTAGTCATCACACCCTTTCAGTGCTGTCCCCCAGTCTTTGCTGCCTGGGGGACCCCGCTTTTTACCCCTACGTGAGCGACCCCCCACAAGCACAACCCTCCCATCTGCCTGGGTAGTCACAGAGCAGTAGCGGGGTATGCCCTTGGAATTAATAAAGTACTTGGCACGTTTGGATTGCTCCAGAAGTTTTGGTGGTGGCATCCCTAGAAGCTCCATCATGCAGGCCAACTGGTCTCCTTCATCCTCTCCAGGGAAGAGAGGCTGTCCTGTTAAAAGTTCTGCAAGGATGCAGCCAAAACTCCATATGTCAATTGGTGTGCTGTAGCGGCTTCCTAAGATGATTTCTGGAGCTCTGTAGAACCGAGACTGGATATATGTGTAGAGCTTCTGGTACTCGAAACAGCTGGACCCAAAGTCAATGACCTTGGTTGAACTGCGCCCGTGGTGTTTCAGGAGAATGTTTTCTGGCTTCAGATCGCAGTGAATAATCTTATTTTTGTGGAGGGCATCCAAAGATTGCAAGATGGACTGGGCAAACTTGCGTACCAACTGGACGCTAAAACCCTGAAACTTATTTTTTTTAATCAGCTCATAAAGGTCTATGCTCAGCAATTCAAAGGCCATGCAAACATGGTTCCGGAATGTGAAACTTTCCAGCATGTGGATAACGTTCATACTACCAGTTTTATCCTGTTTCTTAAGATGCTCCAAAATCCGGATCTCCTCAGCTGCTTGACGATGAAAGCGCTTCTCATTGCGCACCATTTTTAGGGCCACGTACTGTCGAAGTTTGTGATCATAGACCCTGGCCACCTGCCCAAAACTCCCCTTGCCAATAATTTTCAGCACCTCATATCGATAAGCTAGATGGTCTCGAGGTACATGAATATAGGCCCCATCTGCATCATCATACCCTCCATTATTGGGACCACCAATAACTCCATGTCTTTTCTTGGCATTTGGACCTACAAAGTAAATTTCTGGATAATTAATTATTTCCAGTTTCTCATAGGCAGTGAGGTGGTGTTTATATTGCTTCAGGGCTTGTTCTGGAGTCAGAGGCACCACTTTGGGTGCCTTGGATGAACTGTTGGATTTTACTGTATTCAAGCAATCTGAACTTTTACCCTGAGAAACAGTAGGAGAGCATTTTTCAGAGTCACTGATGCCATCTGACTGAATAGTATTGGATTTTCTGTTGCCAAATTCTTGAAACAGCTGTTCTACCTTCATCTCACCTCCATCCAAAAAGTGCTGAGTATGATCTCCTGTAAACTGCTCAGTGGTCATCTATGAAAGAGAAAATGAATATAAGTCATTAAAAACATTAGAAAGATGGAAGAATCCTCCCTCCTCCAACTGAATAACAACAAAACATGTCCAGTCATGTTTACTTTAAGGTTAAAATGACCCAAAAAGAAGATAAGAAAAGCAAGAGTCTCTAGCAACTTGTGTTATATTAATTTTCAGACTCCCTGAATATTGCGGCCATCCCTAACCCCCATACATGCCTTGCTTTGTTCAAGACAAGATGATCTTACCATGCCCCCCACATGCCAGGTTCCTTCTTACAGATGTGTCCTTGTACTGAGAATCCTTCCACCCCCTCATCCCCTCGACTCCTACATTCCTTCAAAGCCCAGTTTAATTCCTCTCTCTTCCACTTAGAACTATGCCAAGCCCATACTAATTAATCTTATATCCTAACTGCAGCTTCTCCAGTTTGTGCCACATAATTTGGTACTTGATTATGTATAATATATGCACTACCTTACACTGTTTACTAATTGTTTCAAGTATCTTCCCAAATATTAAGGACATATAGCATGATGAAAATAATGCATACTGAAGTGTAAACAAGAAGGTACTATCAAGTGACAGAAGCAGAATTTGAACCAGAATAGGTCTTCTGGCTCCTATTCAAGGGCCCTTGCCATTAACATAACTCAGCACCAGGTTCTCCCAGCACCTGTAGACTAGCAGGGCTGAATGTTGACTATGGCCTGGAATCAACAACGTGCTCAATCATCTACTCCCAGGTCCCCATATAAATTACTGTAGCCTTTTAACTCAGTTCATTGAATCACAAAAGCTCTAAGTTAAAGAGAACTTTTGAGATCATCTGGACCAATTCTTCAAGTACCTGATAACAGTGAGGGTCCAAGGTCCCTGGGGTACTTATAAAACTCTTCCCTAGCAAGAGCCTACTTGATAAAGGAGTACTACTCCTTTCACCAGGTTTTCCACAATCTTCTCCTGGAAGGGATACTGACCCACAGAAAAAAGCTCTACTTACACCTCTGAATTAAGATTCTTTGAACTGAAACAAGGTTTTTTGAAATAAGATGGAGGAAAAGAAGGACAAAAACAACCAAACACCTAAGTAAAATTAATATTAATTAATTACTATTACAAAAAAAGGGTAACTATGTGAGATGATAGATACATTTAATTGGCTTGACTGTAGTAACCATTTCACTATGTGTATCAAAACATCATACTGGACACCTTAAAAAATAAAATTTTTTGGCCACGTGTGGTGTCTCACGCCTGTAATCCCAGCACTCTGGGAGGCCAAGGCAGGTGGATCACTTGAGGTTAGAAGTTCGATACCAGCTTGGCCAACATGGTGAAACTCTGTCTCTACTAAAAATACAAAAATTAGCTGGGCATGATGGTGCACACCTGTAATCCCAGTTACTTGGGAGGCTGAGGCAGGAGAATTGCTTGAACCCAGGAGGTGGAGGTTGCAGTGAGCCAAATCATGCCACTGCACTCCAGCCTGAGCGACAGAGTGAGACTCCGTCTCAAAAAAATAAATCAATAAAATAAAAAATAAAATAAAAACTTTGGCCAGGTATGGTGGTTCATCCCTGTAACCCCAGAACTTTGGGAGGCCAAGACGGGCAGATCACTTGAGGCCAGAAGTTTGAGACCAGGCTGGCCAACATGGCAAAACCCCACCTCTACTAAAAATACAAAAAAAAAAAAAAAAGCCAGATGTGATGCATGGATGCATGCCTGTAATCCCAGCTACTTGGGAGGCTGAGGCAGGAGAATCGCTTGAACCTGGGAAGTGGAGGCTACAGTGAGCCAAGATCACGCTACTGCATTCCAGCCTTGGCAACAGAGTGAGAGACTGTCTCAAAAAAATAAAATAAAAAAAGAAATAAGTGAAAAATACTAAGAAGGGGCTGGAAAGATAAAAATGTTAAATCTGTTCTTAAAAATAAAAGGAAGTCTAGGATAAATAAAAGGAAGTCTAGGATACTTAAAAGAACAACTGTTTTTCTCAATGGACCCTGAAGAATTATGTCCTTTATCTGTTTGATAATTTCAGAGAGCCTGTAGTAAGAGGAACAGATTAATTCCGGAGGAGCTCTGGGCTACAGTTATAATCTCTAAAAATGTAAGCTAAAAAGTAGTCAAACCTTTAAAAACTAGAAATTTTAATATAACCTAAGCAAAACAAAAATTGTATTTATAAATTACCAAAAATAAATAACAAAAAACAATATTAAAAAACATAAATGACAAAAATTTAAGTGTTGGCATACCTCAGACAGCCCCCGTAATTCAGTTATAAAAGTCCTGCTTGCTCCTTTTTAAAAGTCATTTAATCAATTTAAATATTTATAGAACACTTACAGTTACATGATGTATTATATGATCTTAAACAAAGTCAAGGAGCCAGTTCAAATGTAGCCACAGCTTGGCATTTAGTTTTAAAATAAAGGGGCCAGATATTGCCCAAGTACATATAGTCTCTCTGATACCAAAATAGAAAACTATCACTGGTCAAGAAAATAAACAGGCCCACATATAGAATCTAAATATTGGCCAGCCGTGGTGGCTCACACCTGTAATCCCAGCACTTTGGAAGGCCGAGGCGGGTGGATCACCTGAGGTCAGGAGTTCGAGACCAGCATGGCCAACATGGCAAAACCCTGTCTCTACTAAAAATACAAAAATTAGCCAGGCGTAGTGGCGCGCACCTGCATTCCCAGCTACTTGGGAGGCTGAGGCAGGAGAATTGCTTGAACTGGGGAGGTGGAGGTTGCAGTGAGCTGAGATCGCACCACTGCATTCCAGCCTGCAATCTATTAGGGAATAAATTTGGTGGAACTAGGAAAAGAATTTTAATTATTTGGTTTTAATTAGATTTACATAACAAAAACAAACATCTACAAGCATCTTGGCTAGTTTTCCTTAAAATCTTTACTACCTAACTTTAATTCATCTAAATATTTACTGCTTAAGTCTTTGAAACACATCCTGAAGAAACAGGGAGTCAGAAGGCCTGGGTTGGGGTCCTGGCTACACTACTTAAAAGCTGTAGGTCCAGCCAGGTGTGGTGGCTCACGCCTGTAATCCCAGCACTTTTGGAGGCCAAAGTGGGCAGATCACCTGAGGTCGGGAGTTGGGGACGAGCCTGACCAACATGGTGAAACCCCATCTCTACTAAAAATACAAAAATTAGCCAGGTGTGGTAGTGTGTGCCTGTAATCCCAGCTACTCAGGAGGCTGAGGAAGAAGAATTGCTTGAACCCAGGAGGCAGAGGTTGCAGTGGGCCAAGATTGCATCACTGCACTCTATCCTGGGCGACAGGGCAAGACTACTTCTCAAAAAAAAAAAAAAAAAAAAAGCTGTAGGTCCCTGTTGCCTTCCTGAGCCTCAGTTTCTTTATCTGTAAGATGTGGATAATAATATCTACTTGCAGGATGTTGTGTGAATCAAATTCTAATTAAAAATAATAATTTCACCAACTATAAAATATTTAAAAGACACTGGTTACAATTCAGCAAAATTCTCAATACATTAAAGTTTAAGTTCCTATACACCCTTCCCCTTCCCCTTTTCTCTCTTCTCTTGCTGGCGGCTTCCTCCATTTCTCCAGCCTGATCTCCCTCCATCATGCGTCTAGCACTAACTATGCCTTCTGCTCAATGAGGGCCCCCACAATAGGCCTTCACTTAGGATACACGGAATTGCCTCACCCACTTTCTCCCCACATAAAACATGCTTTCCACTCACTATACAATGTACTGTGTTACCTCTCCATGGATATTTGAACTTCAACAGAAGATCAATGCCCTAATGAAAAGGAATGCCTCTCTAGGAACTGAAGTTACCAGTGACAAGCTGTTAGGAAAGGTATTTGTGGTGCAGCGTCTGTCCCTGGGAATTTCCCCTACTCTGCTTACGTGTAAGGCTGGACTGGCTCTGAAGGTCTTCATTTCTGTTTGTGATAATGAGAGGGTCTCAGGTACACAACATTAATAAGAACAGATACATATCAGAAATGTAATTTCCATAGAACTATTACAATAATATTAAAGATGTCACTTAGAATCCCTGACTCATGGTTTTTCCTTAAAGTAAGCCTAAATTTCTCTCCTTGCAAAATAAGTTGTACCTTGCCTTTGGGAACTACACAGAAGTGTCCAAATTTCAAGTAGGAACCCTCTGGGTACCTAAAAGGGGCTGTGCTGTCCCTGCCTCCACCATTCTGTAGGTTCACCATCCCCACTACATCTGCCTTACCTCACCCACTCTCCTGTTCACATTCTCAACATAGGCTGCACTTTATGTCTCTCTTGAAGCATGCCTTCCAGAACAGAGCAGGCTACTTCAGTGTAGTCCACCATCAATATCATCTTCTCCAGTGAATCTGGAGAATTCTGGGAGGTAATTTTTCCACACAGGGAGGGGTTATCTTTTTTATTATTATTATTATATTTTTATTATTATTATTATAAGTTATAGGGTACATGTGCACCACACGCAGGTTACATATGTTACATATGTATACATGTGCCATGTTGGTGTGCTACACCCATTAACTCGTCATTTACATTAGGTATATCTCCTAATGCTATCCCTCCCCCCTCCTCCCACCCCACGACAGGTCCTGGTGTGTGATGTTCCCCACCGTGTCCAAGTGTTCTCATTGTTCAATTCGCACCTATGAGTGAGAACATGTGGTGTTTGGTTTTCTGTCCTTGCAAGTTTGCTCAGAATGACGGTTTCTAGCTTCATCCATGTCTCTACAAAGGACATGAACTCATCCTTTTTTATGGCTGCACAGTATTCCATGGTGTATATGTGCCACATTTTCTTAATCCAGTCTATCATTGATGAACATGTGGGTTGGTTCCAAGTCTTTGCTATTGTGAATAGTGCCACAATAAACATACATGTGCATGTGTCTTTATAGCAGCATGATTTATAATCCTTTGGGTATATGCCCAGTAATGGGATGGCTGGGTCAAATGGTATTTCTAGTTCTAGATCCTTGAGGAATTGCCACATTGTCTTCCACAATGGTTGAACTAGTTTACAGTCCCACCAACAGTGTAAAAGCGTTCCTATTTCTCCACATCCTCTCCAGCACCTGTTGCTTCCTGACTTTTTAATGATCGCCATTCTAACTGGTGTGAGATGGTATCTCATTGTGGTTTTGATCTGCATTTCTCTGATGGCCAGTGATGGTGAGCATTTTTTCATGTGTCTGTTGGCTGCATCAATGTCTTCTTTTGAGAAGTGTCTGTTCATATTCCTTGCCCACTTTTTGATGGGGCTGTTTGATTTTTTCTTGTAAATTTGTTTAAGTTCTTTGTAGATTCTGGATATTAGCCCTTTGTCAGATGGGTAGATTGTAAAAATTTTCTCCCATTCTGTAGGTTGCCTGTTCACTCTGATGGTAGTTTACTTTGCTGTACAGAAGCTCTTTAGTTTAATTAGATCCCATTTATCAATTTTGGCTTTTGTTGCCGTTGCATTTGGTGTTTTAGACATGAAGTCCTTGCCTATGCCTATGTCCTGAATGGTATTGCCTAGGTTTTCTTCTAGGGTTTTTATGGTTTTAGGTCTAACATTTAAGTCTTTAATCCATCTTGAATTAATTTTTGCATAAGGTGTAGGGAAGGGATCCAGTTTCAGCTTTCTACATATGGCTAGCCAGTTTTCCCAGCACATTAAATAGGAAATCCTTTCAGGGAGGGGTTCTCTTCTTAACTTTCTTTCCTTTCCTGTAAATAACTCAAATACTGGCCTGAATCAATTACATATCAAGTCTGATGTGTTATAAATAAAACCTTCCTTCCATTGTTCTAAAAAAATCTACAGTGTTCACACATATTAAACTATAATTGTTTTAAAACACTAAATATTTCCCCAAATGCCCATCAATCAAGGAGTAGATAAAGAAATTATGGTATATATATATATACCATAGAATACTATTTAGCCATAAAAAAGAATGAAATAATGGCATTCACAGCAACCTGGATGGAATTGGAGACCATTATTCTAAGTGAAGTAACTCAGAAATGGAAAACCAAACATGGTATGTTCTCATTCATAAGTGGGAGCAAAGCTATGAAGACGATGAAAGGGCTTAAGAATGATACAATGGACTTTGGGGACTTGGGGGATAGGGTGGTAGAGGAGTGAGAGGTAAAAGACTACACACTGGGTCTAGTATACACTGCTCGGGTAATGGGTGCACCAAAATCTCAGAAATCACCACTAAAGAACTTATTCATGTAACCCAAACACCACCTGTTCCCCAAAAACCTATTGAAAAAAAAAACACTAAATATTTCTAGTCTAGGGTTATAATCACAATAACCAAGCAATGTATATGACTGACTCTACCAAGTATTTTCTTAACCATGTAATTATATCCAGAGACATGAATAATGTCATATTTATCATGTTTTATTTCATAAGAATGCTTCACATACCCTGCTAATTTGATGGGCTTCTGGCATTTTAAATAGAATCTTCTACTGTATTAATCAAGTCTTAAAAATCTTGCTGAGAGGCCAGGCACGGTGGCTCACGCCTGTAATCCCAGCACTTTGGGAGGCCAAGGCGGGCGGATCACGAGGTCAAGAGATCGAGACCATCCTGGCTAACACGATGAAACCCTCTCTCTACTAAAAATACAAAAAATTAGCCAGGTGTGGTGGTGGGTGCCTGTAGTCCCAGCTACTCGGGAGGCTGAGGCAGGAGAATGGCATGAACCCAGGAGGCGGAGCTTGCAATGAGCCGAGATAGTGCCACTGCACTCCAGCCTCAGTGACAGAGCGAGACTCTGTCTTAAAAAAAAAAAAAAAAAAAAATCTTGCTGAGAAATTGAAAAGGAATAAAGGAATATCCTTCTCACTCAGATATAAAACCCTACCTTTTCCCCAGCTCCCAAACCCTAAATCCCTGTAACACAAAACTTAACCCAATAAAAGCCTATGGGCAGATGATTTATAGTTTACCATGAGAATGTAGGAGCATCTTGAATAAATGAAGCTAGAAAACTTTGTAAAAAAAAGTAACAGGATCTCGGGATAGAG
Source organism: Homo sapiens (assembly GCF_000001405.40). NCBI lineage: Eukaryota > Metazoa > Chordata > Mammalia > Primates > Hominidae > Homo > Homo sapiens. Next base: position 206,640,322 of record NC_000001.11, on the reverse strand, counting down.
TCATGGCATAATGAAATGTAAGTGGCACCAAGAGGTCAAAAGGCATTTTTTATTTTTATTTTCTTTTTCAGCAAAATGAGTAAAGACAGCCAGGCGTGGTGGCTCACGCCTGTAAAGCCTGCACTTTGGGAGGCTGAGGTGGGTGGATGACCTGAGGTCAGGGGTTCGGGACCATCCTGGCCAACATGGTGAAACCCCATCTCTACTAAAAATACAAAAATTAGCCAGGCATGGTGGCAGATGCCTGTAATCCCAGCTACTTGGGAGGCTGAGGCAGGGAGAACTGCTTGAACCCGGGAGATGGAGGTTGCAGCAAGCCAAGATTGTGCCACTGCACTCCAGCCTGGGCGAGAGAGCGAGACTCGGTCTCAAAAAAAAAAAAAAAAAAAAAAAAGAAATGAGTAATGAGTAAGACATCTAAAATCTTCTTGCTCCCTCACAAAACTGTCATGCCTAACACCATGCAGTAAGAAATTAATTTTTGATCCTGAAACATACAATGTAAGTAACCTACTGGAAGGTAAATAGCATCGGCTAACTCTGAATCAAAGTAAAAATGACTTGGCTGGGCGCGGTGGCTTGCGCCTGTAATCCCAGCACTTTGGGGAGCTGAGGTGGGTGCATCACAAGGTCAGGAGTTCAAAACCAGCCTGACCAATACAGTGAAACCCCATCTCTACTAAAAATACAAAAATTAGCCAGGCATGTTGGTTGGTGCCTATAATCCCAGCTACTTGGGAGGGTGAAGCAGGAGAATCACTTGAACCCGGGAGGTTGCAGTAAGCCAAGATTGCGCCACTGCACTCCAGCCTAGGTGACAGAGTGAGAGTCCATCTCAAAAAAAAAAAAAAAAAAAATCAGTTAAAATGACTTAAAGTCAGATGTTAACACTTCAACCCAATTGCAAATAGTTTCCTATAGAGGTGAACCAATTGGCAGCAAGTAACCAAGCAATCTGATGGGCAACACAAGATGTATATGGTTCTGAAGTTCTTAGACATTTTGACATATTAAAGAAACAACTTGCAAAGAATGGAAAGAAACCCCACTACACTCCAAAAAGGGGACGAAAAATAGGGTGACCAGCCTTCAAAATATTTTTAGCTCACGTTTTGTATACTACTAGTGTTGAAAGTGGGGAAAGGGCCGGGTGCGGTGGCTCACGCCTGTAATCCCAGCACTTCCAGAGGCCGAGGGAAGTGGACCACTTAAGGTCAGGAGTTAGACCAGCCTGACTAACATGGTGAAACCCTGTCTCTACTAAAAATACAAAACTTAGCTGGGTGTGGTGGCAGTCGCCTGTAATCCCAGCTACTCAGGAAGGCTGAGGCAGGAGAATTGCTTGGACCCGGGAGGTGGAGGTTGCAATGAGCTGACATGACACCACTGCACTCCAGCCTGGAAGACAGAGTAAGACTGCGTCTCAGGAAAAAAAAAAAAAAAAAAAAGGAAAAAGGTTGATTTTAAGCAAAAACTGATGACCACAGGAAGGACTATGAAAAATAGAAGTGATTTTTCCATATAGAAACAATTTCAGGTCTTAAACACAGAAACGTGAAAGAGAAATATTACAAATGAGTCAATTCAATTATTCAGTTTGTTCATCTGATGACATATGCAGGAAATTTTAAAGTCATAGGATAGCCTCTCTTTGTCATGGAACTTGGCCAAACCCTGCTCTGCCTACCACTCTATGCATGCTGAAGGAATGCAAATTAATTTTATCTTAAGTTAAAAAAAAAAAAAAGCTGCCAAGCACGGTGGCTCACGCCTGTAATCCCAGCACTTTGGGAAGCCGAGGCGGGTGGATCACGAGGTCAGGAGTTCAAGACCAGCCTGACCAACATGGTGAAACCCCTGACTACTAAAAATACAAAAATTAGCCAGGCGTGGTGGCACGCGCCTGTAATCCCAGCTACTCAGGAGGCTAAGGCAGGAGAATCACTTCAACCCGGGAGGCAGAGGTTGCAGTGAGCCAAGATCATGCCATTGCACTCCAGCCTGGGTGACAGAGAGAGACTCCACCTCAAAAAAAAAAAAAAAAAAAAAAAAGCTAAGTGTCTGCAGTCCCCAAAATGATTAAGTGCATTAAAAACCAAACTGTTGTAGTTATCATCTATCTATAAAATGGTTCTCTTTAGTATACTAATAAACGAAGACTGCATTTCCACCGTGCAGGGGAAAAAAAACTCCTGCAGATCTATGAATTCTGACATGTTTTCTGTTTCTTATTTTTGTTAAAAGGAGCCTTTGTAATACTAGGTGTATATCATCCTATACAAAAATAAGCATTACCTAAATAAAAGTAGCATATTATTTTTTTCCTAGTGCTATATATTTATCCCAGTGGAAACTGAAATAAAAAGGTGAGCTCCAAACTGAAATCATTCTGAAAAGCTAAATTTGGACCACAGACATTGTTATTCCAAAGTCAAGAGAAATCAAAAATAAACCAAAAAAAAGTCTGGTTGTCAGTGATACATAAGTGTACCTTGAGCATTAAGTAGCACTTCCTCCTTTCCAAAACAATTCATGTACAAAGAATGACTTCTTTTACTTACATTTAGTCTTCTGGGTGGAGGTGGTTCAGAAGGATTGCAGAGTACATTTGAACAGGGGGGACATTTGGTTTCATCTATCATCATGAAGGTGTCATAGACACCATCCCCCAACCTAGTTAAAAGGATTACAGACAAAATCTGTCAGGAACTGAAGAATATAGAATCCTATGTCTTAACTGCTTCATATCTGCTACAAGGAACAGTAATAGAAATAAATGTCTACACTACATTTTGGCACTGAATACAAACAACTGGGGTATTTGGAAGAGGTACAGAGGAAATCCAACTTTTGTTTTTCAAGGACAGCATTTCTAGGTTTGTATTTTAAAACAGTTGAAACAAGTCCTTCTGAATGTTGTTAAACACAATAAGGACTATCAGAAGGATCTCATAATAACTTACTACTTGAAAATAAAGGCTAGTTTGAAACTGAAGCTCACAGAGAAAAAAACAGACCAGAAAAAACTAACAGAGGTAATAGTTTCTCAAGTCAGAGACTTGGATTCTAATCTCAGCTCTAACACTGGCTGTGCTACCTTCTCCTCTGAGCCTGTCTTCCCCAGTGCTACCTTCTCCTCTGAGCCTGTCTTCCCCATGTTAATGGGAAGACTAGCTCCAGTCTTCACACTTCTGGGTCTTACAGGCAAGAAATAAAAGGCCTTTTTAAGGCTGTCTTCTCTTTATTCATTTACTTACTTACCTACTTACATCTACCTAACCTGCAGAAAAATACAGTAAGTACTACAGCAAACGCTAAAAGGATGCTCTAAATTATAAAATGTATTGAATTTACTTCTCTTTCCACTTCATTTTCTGGTGGATGGTGGAGGCAAAATTCTAAATGATTAAGGATCACTTCTCTGTTCTTTAACACTGTGGCTCCACCACTGTAAGGGAACACAAAAGACGGAGAGGATTTATTTAATCCACAAGATGGCCCTGAATAATGTATTTCATCTGCTACCAAGAACACGGATTTCCCAGTTACACACATCAGCATTTCATTGTATCATTTTACATGATACACTATGAATATAACAATGATGATGTTGCAGAGGAATAATTTTTTAACGTCTTTTAAAATATCCTGGAATATTCTGGTCACCTTAAAAACTGTTTTGTGAAATTCATTCTAGAGTTTTCTTTATAGATGTGTTATAAAAATATAAAGGGAAAAAAACCGCTACAAATATTTTTGGAATGCTCTTTTTAAAAACATGCTCACATTCTGATAGAATTATTTATATTTTTAACAGGGAATGGCTTCACCAACAGAAACCAAATATTCTGGATGTGACTGACCCTTTGCCATAAGCCTGATAAAACAAACCAGGATAGGCGTCCACATATATAAAGAAAAAGAAAACGTGCAAAATTGCCTAGTGACTAACAGCCAGAGGAAATTAACAAGAGTCTGCATGCAAATAAAGCGGGGAGCAAGGGTCTCTTCTCTCCATTTAGGTGTAAAATACAACGCAAGGTGGGGAATCTCTCAAAATAGGATCCGGAGAAAGCCGTACCCAGCATAGCCCATAACCTGTACATTCGAAGCTAGACCGCACCCCTCACAGCAAACCCCAAGAGTTCAGCCGTTGGTTATCCGCTCTAAGCAACAGGGCTTCTTTCCAAGGTATTGCTCCCGGGCTCCCCCCCTTTAATAAAAAGCCCCACAAAAAGTCCTAGATTTTCGTAATCCCTTAACATATACCCCGATCTAGGGTTTCAGAGGGAATCCAGGGGTGGAAATTCTTCTTGCTCTAACTCCGCTCTAGCCCCGTCCCCCGCGCCCGGTGAGACAGGGATGGGGGGAGGGGGCCCTGATAGAGAGGAGGTGGGGGCGGTCCCGGGGAGGCAGTCAGACCCCTGCCCTCGTCCCTCCTACTGAGGGCTCACTCTACCTCCTCCCCACCCCCAAGCTTCGCTTGCCAGCGCCAGCCGCTCCCTGTGGCGCCTCCAGCCCGTTACCCCGTGGCGCCGTTACCTCCGCTGCTGGGGCGGGAGCCCGGCCCCAGGCGGCCCCGCATCCTTCCGCCCAGGCCCACGAGCTGTGCCTCCCATCTCCTAGCTCGGGACCCCGCGCGGGGAGAGGCGCCAGTTGGGGGTCCGGTCGGCCACGCCACCTACGCCGGGACGGCTGCCTCCGCGGCGCGACGCTCCCACGGGTACTCTCGACCAGACACTGCAGCTCAGCGCACTTTCGCTCCCGACTGGCCCCGGCTGGGAAGTGGGGAGACGCAGCTCCAGGGGCGGGAGGGGGAGCGGTCTGGTCGCCTAGCAACCGCGGCACGCCCCCGGGAAACGCCTCGGCGCAGCTACGGGCTGACGCACAGGGGCGGGGCCCGTGGCCGGTAAAGGCCACGCGGCGCTCCTAGCGGGTGCTAGTACTGGCGCGGGAGGCGGGAGGTTGGAGGCGAGGAGCTCGCGGCCTAGGCTGTTTGGGTCCCTGGCGCGAGCTGTAGACGGAGAGAGGGGTCCGGAGAAGGAGGGGTGAAAGTAGCAGTTAGCCCGCGATCTCAGAAGGGCTGCCCGCCCCTCACGGTCCCTTAATAGCACGTTGCGTCCTGGAAGTTCTAAAACGTCCCGCTTCAATATGAATTTTAAATTAGTGAAAACATATGTGTATTGTTTTAGGCTTTCCCACCGCGGGGACGGCCCTCCGGGGGTTGGTGAGTTACATAAGAAAGCAATAATAATAAACCCATTTATTGACACGATGCTTCCATTTATGAACATTTGATCTCAGTAACGGAGGTACCCGACGACTTTCGTCTTTTACAGACTTAGCTGGGATGCAGAATAGAAGCTGGGCCTTTGTCTGACTACCCTGCAACAGTCAGCCACAGACGGGAAGGCAGCGCAGGAAACTGAGGCCAAAGGAGCCGCGCTTCCTCATGAGCATGAAGCGGCAAAGCCTGAACTAGAAGCTTCTAACGCCTAACCGTCCTCTTGCCGCACCAGGACCTACCTCTGCAAGGCCCTTCCTGACTTTTTCCTTAGAATGTGTGTATATGTGTCTTTTTCCTTTTCTGATGCTAAGACACCTCAGAAACACCAATGTTAAGCAGATTTCCATCGTTGGAGGTTAAAACACCCGAATACAAGTGTTTTCTTGAGTGTGGCATCTGGTCAGATGTTTTATGGGTTGGTTTGTTTTTAAAAAAAAAAAATTTCCTGTTAGATGGGTGGTAAGAACCAGTCAGAGTTTGTAAACCCACCAAGCACGAGGCGGTCGGACCGTCCAGATTCTGGAGTCCAGAAGACACCAAACGTTCTCAGAATGCCGAACGCGGGCGCCACCTGGTGGGACTAGAACGCTTATTGTCCCAAATCAGCATAGCACACAGTTCCCATAAATCTTAAAAATTCCCATCCAAGGCTCATTTCCGTGTGACTAAAAGTCATATTCTCTGTTCTCGTGACTCCAAGTAAAAATGTCCCTAAAGAGCCAAAGTATCTTCACTGTATAAACTAATAATCTATTGGTTTGGGGAATTTTATTTTTTGTGATCAATGTTACTTTAGCCTTTCTATGATATACATATAAATAAAAAAGTTTTCTTCCATGATGATTTTTTAAAGTTTATTTTATAAATAAACTTTTTCTTTTTGTCTCTCCCTTCCCCCACTTTGCAACCAGAGCAATTCTGCTTTCACAGGGGTTTGTATTTGGGCTCTTACGAAGCTTTTGTTTGAAGAAAGAGTTCCATGGCAACGCAAAGATTGGACGAGGTTACTGTTGAAGTCCCTTCCAGCTCTAAGATTGCAAAATTCTATTAAATAATCCCCGTTCTCAGTACTTATGTAGACACCTCAGACCACTTTACTGCCCTCCCTAAACAGTTGAATGAGACTTGCCCCCACATGATTTCTTACCTCATTCTGAATCACTGCTCGTGAGAGGATTGCATCCGCAGTCTGTGCTTAAGACACATCTTCCAGAGCCAAGTGGAAGGGTTCCTGCTCCCTTTCTTGCTCCTAAGGTGGGAAATACAGAGGCCGCCTTTGTCTTTCGCCTATTGTTCCCATGGTCAAGGGAAAGAGGACTCCTCGAGGGTGCTGGAGCTTCATAAATCTCTGACCTTAGTGACCCAATGTTTCTTCAAAGATCCCCTGTATGATGGGGTTAACGTCCCATAAGGGATCTGGCAGGAGCCTCCACACCCCTGCTGAGCGCTGCCCTGTCCCCTCCAGCTCCCAAGCAGCTTCCACATCATTCATGCCCTTTCTTCCCCTCCAAAGCCTCATTCAAGAGTAGTTTAAAATCACCATTATCATTCTCCATGCAGTTAAAGTCAGATTTACCCACCATGAATTAGCCAAAAGTCATATAAGATGCATGTCTGTCCTTTGAAGCCAATTCCAAGACATCTGCAAAATAAGGTACCTGCAAGTTCTAATACATTGACTAAGGAAATAAACAACAGTAAAAAAGATGCAACTATTCCAGGATCTTAAAAACCCACTGGGACATTCACAATGTGATCAAAGTTTCAAATGCACAGATTAAGAAAACATCCCCGTGGCCACATTTACCTGGAATTTTGTGATAAAATAGCTGTTAGTAGGTTATGTTAAGTTTGGACAAGTTTCATTGACATTTCTGTACAGCAAAATGTGCCATAATGCCTACTGTGACATGTGCATCACAGAATTGGAAAATATTTTTTAAAAATCACTGGAGAGAACCAGTGAAACTTACTTTTTTCCTCAAGCTATGTTAACCTCAAATTGACCCGTGTTCCTGAAATGTATACTTGCTATTTTTTTCAGAAACACTGAAATCTAGCTCACTGGAACACTAAAGCCATGGCTTATTTTTCTGGAGCCTCAGAAAACTGTCTCTCTTCTATACCTCAGGCATCTCCTGTTCTTATGCCCTCCCCTCTCCACCAAGATTTGAAAAATGCCCCTTATTAACAAAGCAAACAAAAGCCATGCCCGCAGTGCTGTAGTACAGCTACAACTAAGACACACTTAGTTCTGTGTCTCCTAAACCCTAAAGGTTGTCCTTATTATCACAAACTCTTCACCTATTTTTCTTTTCCAAAACTTTTGCCATCTTTTTCCACTTGTTCCTCCTAAGTCAGCGTGACCAGTTCCACCTATAGCCCTGAGGGGTCCTATGAAGCTTCATTTCTGAAATCTTGAAACCAAACCAGGAGTCTTTCTAATCATCATTACCATTTGCTAAGTATTTATTATGTTCCAAGCACTATCTGAAGCACTTTAACATATTTGCTCATTTAAAACTCACAGTAGTCCCGTGAGATAGGTATTATCTCCATCCTACACTTCAGAAAACAGTCTCAGAGTTTAATAACTTGCCCAAGGTCACCCAGCCAGTAAGTGATGAACTGAAATTCAAACCCTGGTCTGTTTGGTTGAAAAACTCAGCCCCTCGACTGCCTGTATTCCACCTGTATTCCCTGAGCCTGGCAGGCTAGCCCAGGCTAGACCACTGGACCCTTGAATTCTGTGACATAGTTTCTCTTGATTTAAGATTCTGAAGATGGTAAGCAGAATGATAGTTCCCCAAAGATGTCCGCATCCTAATTCCAAGAATCTGTAAATATGTCACTTTACTTGACAAAAAGGGACTTAGCAAATGTGATGAAGTTAAGGATCTTGAGATGGGGTGATTTTCCTAGATTATCTGAGTGGGCCCACTGTAATCACAGGAGTCCTTTTAAGATGGAAGGGGAGGCCAGGTGCAGTAACTCATGCCTGTAATCCCAGCACTTTGGGAGGCCGAAGTGGGCGGATCACCTGAGGTCAGGAGTTCGAGACCACCCTGGCCAACATGGTGAAACCCCGTCTCTACTAAAAACACAAAAATTAGCTGGGCATGGTGGTGTGTGCCTGTAGTCCCAACTACTCGGGAGGCTGAGGCAGGAGAATCACTTGAACCCAGGAGGCTGAGGTTGCAGTGAGCAGAGATCACGCCACTGCACTCCAGCCTGGGTGACAGAGTGAGACTCCATCTAAAAAAAAAGGATGGAAGGGGAAAGCAGGAGGGTCAGAGAGGGAAATGTGACCATGGAACAGAGGTCAGAGAGGGAAAGAGATTTGAAGATGCTGTTGTTGGTCTTGAAGATGGAGGAGGGGGCCGTGAGTTAAGGAATGAAGGTGGCCTCTAGAAGCTGGAAAAGGCAGGGAAACAAATTTTCTTCTAGAGCTTCCAGAAGGAACGAATCTCTGCTTACACCTCAATTTTAGGAGTTCTGACTTCCAGAACTGTAAGATAATAAATTTTCCTTGTTTCAAGCCACTAAATTTGTAATTTGTTGCATTAAAGCTTAGGAACCTTGGGTACTGTAATAGATTAAACATAGCACATCCTTTGCAGCTGTTCCCAGGGAGTAGAGGAAACAATTTTCCTGGTTCTTGAAGCTGACTGGCCACGTGACTTGATTTGACCAATAACACGTGAGGAATTTAGGCGCTTAGGCCTCAGGAGACCCCCCTTACAGCTTCTTCTCTCTTGCTCTTAGATGCTGCCACCATGTGGACAAGTCTGAGCTGGATTTCTGTAGTCCTCAGCTAATACCAATTGCCAGACAAGTGAGGGAAGCCACCTGGCTGAGTTGCCAGCTGACAGCAGCCATATGAGAGTTCCACGTAAAGCTAGCAGAAGAACCTCTTGGCTGCACCCCACCCAAATCAACAGCCCCTTGAGAATTATGAGCAAATAAAATGATTACTTTAAGCCACTAAGCTTTGGGGTATGGCAATAAATAAATGATAGGGGTACTTTTGAAAAATACCAATTATGCCTACCCTCCATCCCACCAGATCTAATGATGAACAGTTTCTTGGTAAGGATCTCTGCTCATATTTTTATTGTGGCTGTTGTTCATCAGCCAGGTTTGGAAATCACTACTGTAGACCTTGGAGACCAAGTCCTATTGAGTCATCTGGCTCATGGAAGGTCTTAGAAGACCAATGCACCTGCTCTATTCACAGCATTTGGGCCAAGGAACTAGTTCTCTCTCAATCACCTAGTGTACAGGTTAGGGCTTTTTCTATTGCAAATATCAAACTAAATCTGTTTAAAGAAAATGTACTAGCCGAGTGCGGTGGCTCACGCCTGTAATCCCAGGACTTTGGGAGGCTGAGGCAGGTGGATCACCTGAGGTCAGGAGTTCGAGACCAGCCTGGCCGACATGGTGAAACCTCATCTCTACTAAAAATACAAAAATTAACCAGGTGTGGTGGCGGGCACCTGTAATCCCAGCTACTTGGGAGGCTGAGGCTGGATAATGGCTTGAACCCAGGAGGTGGAGGTTACAGTGACCAGAGATTGTGCCATTGTACTCCAGCCTGGGTAACAAGAGCAAAACTGTCTCAAAAAAAAAAAAAAAAAAAAAAAGAAAAAGAAAACAAGGAAAAAAGAAAAGAAAATGTACCATATACCTTTTTTACAGTATTTTTTTAAAAGCAGTAAAGCTAAATTTGAATATGATGGGTGCCTGTCCTATCTCCATTTCTTGTTTCTATATTCCAACATGCTAGTTTCATTCTCAGGGTTCTTTTGTGCAAGCAAGATGGCAACTGCAGTTCCAAGTTCAACTCAGTAGAAAAGCTGTCTCAGTCATCCCACAGTCTCACTGTAATTCACTGGCTTTCACTGGGCCCATTCTTAAACCAAATATGCAGCCAGGAAAATGTAATACTCTGACTGGTCAGGCCTGAGGCTCCTAGACACAGCAGTAGAAACATATTGGACAGAAAGTTAGGAAAACAGTGACTTTCAGAGGAAAGTTGCTATAGCGGGTCCCAAAAAAGAGATAAGTGAATATGGTACAGCAAACACAACAGATATTCACTACAGCTAGGTGTTGGAAATCAGCTTTATCTGTGTTCTGAAAGTCCACATCAGGGTCACCAGGCTACTGGAAGTCTTTAAAATTCCCAAGTCTCAAAAGCCTGGACACCAGACTTTGAAATGCATCTTACCAAGTCACCCAAATGATGGAAGACAGGTTCCCCTCTGCCTCAAAAATGGCCCCCAAGCTCTATAAAACAATTCATGAAGTACTTCCATGCATGATAATTACAGCTCAGCAGCTAGGGGCCCTACCACCATGCCTCTGTGTTCCTAATCCTCAAATTTCATTCACCTGTCTGTACTTTAATAAAAGCCGGATTGGGGGTGTTCCAGTCAAACTTGTGCCTAGGAAGCTAATCCACTAGGGTTGTTAAAACTAAGCTGGAAATGTAAGAAGTAGGAGAATATTGTTTTTATTTAGATTACATTCATGGAGACAACCATATGTGCCTGGAAGAAATGCTTGGTTGAGCACCTAGTGGGAACAGTTGGGGGATAAGGGTAAGGCTCCCCAAAGAAATTCCAAAAAATCCTTATGATCCCTATACTGTCTCAAAGCAGGGTAGGTCCAGCTGTCCGCAGGATTGGGGAGTCTCAAGCTGGAGGTCCTCCTCTCTGCCCTTTCCTCTGCCCAGCTCAGCCCCTTCTCTAATAATGATGAGCAAATATCTGGGTTGGAGGAAAATTCAGGTGTTTCCATGGGCATTGATTAGAATGATATATGCATGGGTCTGTCTCAATCCTTGATTATTTATTAATAATCTTCATATTCCCCATGCCAGACACTAGTGGCTCTCAGCAAGGATGCTGATGTCAGCAGCATTTTAGAAATTATTCCGCAGTACATGGACATCTCTGTCTTTATTTGTCCTACTTTCCCAACATTCTACTTGCTGGTCACCTTGGCTTGAGAAAGCCTTCACTTTTGTTTGTTTGCTTGCTGCTTACTTGCTTGCTATTTAAGAGAAAAGCCTGCTCTTGTCCTGGAAGCCTGGAAACACACACAGCCTTCCTAGGCTGAGACCCCTGCAGGAACTGCAGAGATCAGGAAATATGTCTCCACTGGGCCCTGAAAACCAGCCTCTTTCCTTCAAGATTCCCAGGCCCTCCTTGGCTTTCTCTATTGTCGGGAGTTCCAGGAGCTGCTCTCTCCTCTGATGCGCTGACTACTTTCTTCTTTCTTCTTCTTCTTTCTTCTTCTTTCTTCTTCTCCTTTCTTCTTCTTCTTCTCCTTCTTCTCCTTCTCCTACTTCTTCTTCTTCTTCTTCTTTCTTCCTCTTCTTTTTCTTCTTTCTTCCTCTTCTTCTTGTGTGTGTGTGATCGTTTTAATAGTTGATACCAATACAATTTTTTAAATTATGCTTTAAGGTAAAGAGATTTGAGAGGATGTCTTTCTGTATTCTAGCTTTGTATTGAGATCAGGATTTCCAGAATCCTGTAAAACTCAGTGGCCTCCAGGTTCCAGGCTCCTTTTCACCATCTTCAGGGTCTCAGTACTGCTCTCCTGAGACACAGATAGCACTACTGAATTAGGAAATCACGGTTTTCAATGAGGGAGACACCTTTAAAGAACTCTATTTTTATCCAGTTTGTGCTCCTTAATAATATCGAAACAAAGTTCAAGAAAGGTCCACTGGAGTAAGAGCAATATGTCCTCATATCATCTTTCCGCAGAGGTGTCATAGCCCTAGGAACTGGAGAGAGCTGGAAAGGAAATCTGACTTTTTAAAATCCAGCCTCTAAAAGAACAATGGGACTGCAAGGCATTGCCTATACTCATACAGTCTTTGATTAAACAAATAGCTGGGCCAGACAAGGTGGCTTATGCCTATAATCCCAGCACTTTGGGAGGCCGAGGCGGGCAGATCACAAGGTCAGGAGTTCGAGACCAGCCTGGCCAACATAGTGAAACCCCATCTTTACTAAAAAAAAAAAAAAAATTAGCTGGGCATGGTGGCACACACCTGTAATCCCAGCTACTTGGGAGACTGAGGCAGGAGAACTGCTTGAACCTGGGGGGCAGAGGTTGTGGTGAACTGAGATCACGCCACTGCACTCCAGCCTGGGTGACAGAGTGAGACTCCGTCTCAGAAATAAAAGAAACAAAACAAAAAAACCAAATAGCTTTACCTGTAGACTACCAGAACTTCTTAAGAAATACCATCAATATTGAAGTGATCCAAAAACCACAGTTTCAGCTTCTTTTCCTCCAGATGTGTGCAACAAAATCAAACAGATTGTATTTAACAAATGTCTTTTATAGGCAAGGCCCTTTGCTAGGTGTACAGAAGGAACCAGATCCTCATTCACACCCCATGGTCTCCACGGAGGCCCCGCCTTTCTCCTGCCTGTCTTTGTTTTTCACTCACAAAGAATCACGTTCTCAGCTCACAGTCATTGAATCTGTACCTTTTACGGGAACTTAACAGCTTCCATCCACTTTTCCTAAATAGTCCTCTCATTTTTGGCTCTACCTGCCTTTCTTGGGCTGGACCTCACAAGCTCAGCATATCCCCACTGTATGACCAGGATATGTGTATTTGGGTTGCCAGGAAAAATACAGAATGCCCAGCTGAATTTACATCTCAGATAAATAATGTTTAATTTTTAGTATAAGTGTGTCCCCTGTAATATTTGGAATATAATATCCTAAAAACTGATTTGATGTTTATCTGAAATTCAAATTTAACTGAGCACTTCATGTTTTTATTTGTTAAATCTTAATACTACATGGAAGGCATAAAATCTTCAGCTGTAATTCCTTAAATTAGACTTGAAACCTAATCTTAGAAAAATCATCCTAAGTAACTTTTCCTCTTTCCCTCTTACAAACTTATATAACCTCACACCTACTCAAGTGCATATAATCTTATTCCCTAATTCTTTTTTTTAATTTTTGAATTTTTTATTGACTAATTTTTAAGGTAAATTTTATACCCAGCAAAACGCACAGCTCTTTTTTTGGGGGGGGGTGGGGGTTTGCCAATGTGCTACTTTATTTATTTATTTTTATTATTATATATTATACTTTAAGTTCTAGCGTACATGTGCACAACGTGCAGGTTTGTTACATATGTATACATGTGCCATGTTGGTGTGCTGCACCCATTAACTCATCATTTACATTAGGTTTATCTCCTAATGCTATCCCTTCCCCTCCCTCCACCCCACGACAGGCCCGGTGTGTGATGTTCCCATTCCTGTGTCCAAGTGTTCTCATTGTTCAATTCCCACCTATGAAAGAGAACATGTGGTGTTTGGTTTTTTGTCCTTATGATAGTTTGCTGAGAATGATGGTTTCCAGCTTCATCCATGTCCCTACAAAGGACATGAACTCATTCTTTTTTATGGCTGCATAGTATTCCATAGTGTATATGAATGCATGGCTCTTAAATGCATTTGTGATGAGTTTCAGCAAATGTGTACCCCTGTGCAACATACACTAAATCAAGATATAGAATATTTCCATAACTCTAGAGAGTTCCCTTGTGCCCCTCTCCAGTTAATTATCTCATCCCAGAGATAACCATCATAGATTAGTTTTGCTTGTTCTTGAACCTCATATAAATGAAATTATACAGCATGTATATATTAGTCAGTTCAGGCTACCACAACAAAAATAACATAGACTGGGTGGTTTAAACAAGAGACATTTATTCTTTCACAGTTCTGGAGGCTAGAAGTTCGAGATCAGGGTGCCAGCATGGTTGGGTCCTGGTGAGGGCCCACTTCTGGTTTGCAGATGGGTGCCTTCTCCGTGTGAGCTCACATGGCCTTTCCTTCAATAGGCCAGAAGTCTAAAGTCAAGGTGTTGGCAAAGCTGTTTCCTTCTGGAGACTCTGAGAATCTTCCATGCCTCTCTCACAGCTTCTGGTGGCTGCTGGCAATCCTTGACATTATTTAGCGTGCAGATACGTCACTTTGGTTTCTGCCTCCTTTGTCACAGGCTCTTCGTTCTTCTGTCTCTGTCTCCGTGTGTCCTCTCCTCCTTTTATAAGGACAATAGTCATTGGATTTAGGGCCTACCCTAATCCTGTTTGACCTCATCTTAGCTTAACTATGATGTCTGCAAAGACTCTGTTTCCAAATAAGGTCACATTCTGAGATTCTAGGTGGACGTGAATTTTGGAGAGACACTATTCAACCCACTACAGATAAATACCTAAGAGTTGGAATTGTTCAACCATCTTGTATACTACTTAAATTCTTATATCCCTAAATTTTACCTATGACCTTTTTGGCCCTCTTGTCTTCTAACAGTGAAAGTATGGTACTAAGGCAGCAGTTTTGAAAAATTAAAGGAATAGTAGTTGGAAAAGTCACAGCTGCCAATATATTGCTATTTATATTTCCTAGCCCTCCTATGCTATCATACCACACTTTACTGCTTCTACACTAAAGCCCACATGCTTACAGTATCAAAGTGAAACAGGAAAGAGATTCAATGGGAGTCTAGTTTCGCTGGAACTTTAGCAAGAAATGAGATTAATGTGATGTTTCTCAAACTTTGACTTGCATAAGAATCACCTGGAAGACTTCTTAAAGTGCACTGCTTTTGCAGATGACATAATCTTGTATCTGTCACATTGTATCTATACTTGCAGAAAATCCTAAGGAATCCACTGAAACATATTAGACCTAATAAATGAGTTCAGCAAGGCTGTAGGACGCAAGATCAATACACAAAGATCAATTGTATTTCTTTCTTTCTCTCTTTTCTTTTCTTTTTTTTTTTTGAGATGGAGTCTTGCTCTGTCGCCCAGGCTGGAGTGCAGTGGCCGGATCTCGGCTCACTGCAAGCTCTGCCTCCCGGGTTCACGCCATTCTTCTGCCTCAGCCTCCCGAGCAGCTGGGACTACAGGTGCCCGCCACCACACCCATCTAATTTTTTGTATTTTTAATAGAGACGGGGTTTCACCATGTTAGCCAGGATGGTCTCGATCTCCTGACCTCGTGATCCGCCCGCCTCGGTCTCCGGAAGTGCTGGGATTACAGGCATGAGCCACCACGCCTGGCCAATCAATTGTATTTCTATATGCATGCATGAACAATCTGAAAATAAAATAAAGAAAACAGTTCATTTTATAATGGCATAATAAGGAAAATACTTAGAAATAAATTTAAGAAAATAACTAAAAAGTACATCATTGAAATATATTAAAGGATATCTAAATAAATGGAAAGAGAGGCCATGTTCAGGGATTGAAAGATTTAATATTGCTAAGGGGGCAGTATTTGCCAAATTGATCTACAGATTCAATGCAATCTGTATCAAAATCTCAGTTTTCTTCTTTACAGAAATTGACAAGCTGATCCTAAAATTCATACAGAAATTCAAGGGACCAAGAATAACCAAAACAGTCTTAAAAACGAGACCAAAGTTGGAAGAATCACACTTTCTGATATCAAAACTTACTGCAAAGCTATAGTAATCAAAACACTTGGTACTGGCATAAGATCAGTAGAATAAAACTGAGAATCCAGAAATAAAGCCTCACATTTATGGATAATTGATTTTTTTTTTGAGACAGAATCTTGCTCTGTTGCCCAGGCTGGAGTGCAGTGGTGCGATTTCAGCTCACTGCAACTTCCACCTCCTGGGTTCAAATGATTTTCATGCCTCAGTCCCCCAAGTAGCTGGGATTACAGGTGCATGCTACCACACCTGGCTAATCTTTGTATTTTTAGTAGAGAGGGGGTTTCACTATGTTGGCCAGTGTATTAAACCATTCTCATGTTGCTATGAAGAAGTACCTGAGACTGGGTAATTTATAAGGAAAAGATGTTTAATTGACTCACAGTTCTGCATGGCTTGGGAGGCCTCAGGAAGCTTACAATCATGGCAGAATGCACCTCTTCACAGGGCGGCAGGAGAGAAAATGAGTGCCGAGCAAAAGGGGAAGCCCCTTATAAAACCATCAGATCTCTTGAGAACTCACTCACTATCAAGAGAACAGCATGGGGTGGTGGGGGGGGGACCTGCCCCCATGATTCGATTATCTTCACCTGGTCCCCCACTTGACATGTGGGGATTATTACAATTCAAGGTGAGATTTGGGTGGGGACACAGAGCCAAACCATATCAGACAGGCTGGTCTCAAACTCTTGGCCTCAAGTGATCCACCTGCCTCAGCCTCCCAAAGTGCTGGGATTACAGATGTGAGCCACTATGCCCAGCCAGCAAATTGATTTTTGACAAGACTACCAAGACAATTCAATGGGGAAACAAGTAGTCTTTTCAACAAATGGTTCTGGGACAACTTGATATCTATATCAAAAGTATAAAGTTTGACTCCCTACCTCACACTGTTTACAAAAAGTAACTCAAAATAGATAAAAAACCTAAAAGTAAGTGCAAAAAGTATAAAACTCCTAGAAAAAAACATAGACGTAAATCTTCATCACCTTGAATTACATAGTGGTTTTTTAGACATGACACCAAAAGCACAAGTAACTATGAACAACAAAAACAAAATGTATATTAGAATACATCAAAATTTTAAACTTTTGTCCTTCAAAGGATACCATCAAGAAAATACCAAGACAATCCACATAATGGGAGAAAATTTTTGCAAATCATATGTTTGATAAAGGACTTGTAACTAGAATAAAGAACTCTTACAACTCAATAATAAGACAAATAACCCAATTTAAAAATGGGCAAAGAATCTAAATAGGCATTTCTCCAAAGAAGATATAAAAATGGACAATGAACACATGAAGATATGCTCAACGTCATTGGCCATCAGGCAATGCAAATCAAAACCAATATGAGACACCGTAATATCAAAAACAATATGAGACAACCTGGGAAACATTCTGGCAGTTCCTCAAAATGTTAAATATAGAGTTACCATATGACCCAACAATTTCACTCCTATGTATATGCCCCAAAGAAATAAAAATGTGTTCACAGAAAAACTTGTATATGAATGTTCATAGCATCATTCGTAGCCCCAAAGTGGCTACAAACCCAAATGTCTATCAGCTGACTAATGGGCAAACAAAATGTCATATACACATACAATGGAATATTCTTTAGCAATGAAAAGAAATGAAGTACTGACACACGTACATACAAGGCTCAACATGTATAAGCTGTGAAAACAGTGAACTAAATGAAAGAAACCAGTCACAAACGGCCATGCATTGTATAATTCTATTTATATGAAATGTCCAGAAAAGGCAAATCAATAGGGACAGAAAGTCAATCAGTGGTTGTCTAGGACTGAGCAGCTGAGGAAAATCGAGGAGTGACTGCTAATGGGTACAGGGTTTCTTTTGAGGGTGATGAAAATGTTCTAAAATGTTGATTGTGGTGATGGTTGTGCAACTTTGTGAATATTCTAAGAGCTACTGAATTGTCCACTTTAAATGGGTGAGTTGTAGGGCAATGAACTATATCTCAATAAAGCTATTATTGAAACAAGCACAGGGCCAGGTACAGTGGCTCACCCTGTTACCCCAGCACTTTGGGAGGCCAAGGCGGGTGGATTACTTGAGGTCAGGAGTTTGAGACCAGCCTGGCCAACACGGCCAAACCGTGTCTCTACTAAAAATACAAAAATTAGCCGGTTGTGGTGGCGAGTGCCTGTAATCCCTGCTACTTGGGAGGCTGAGGCAGGAGAATCACTTGAACCTGGAAGGCCGAGATTGCAGTAAGCCAAGATCGCACAGCTGTACTCTACCCTAGGCGACAAAGCGAGATTCCATCTCAAAACAAAAACAAAAACAAACAAAAAACAAACAAAAAAAATTCCTTATTTTGTAGATATAGGGTAGTATCTGAGAATTTGTTTTTCTGACAAAATCCTAGCTGATGTCACTGTGGCTCTAGAAACGACATTTTGAGAACCACTGGATTAAGACCCTCTAGGGAAAGACGGACAGGGAAGGAGAATGAGGTGTGGTGGTCAGAGCTGAGTGGGAAGCAGCCCTAGGTGTGGCTCTAGAACTAATAAGATTAGCAATAAGAGCAGTAGGATAATTGTTGTCCACCCACCTCTCTCCTCCATGTTCATTTTTTCAGCGAGGCCCCAAGGAATACATTTTTTTTTTTTTAACAGACATGCGCTACCATGCCCAGCTAATTTTTGTATTTTTAGTAGAGACAGAAGTTTTGCCATGTTGGCCAGGCTGGTCTAGAACTCCTGACCTCAGGTGATCCTCCTACCTCGGCCTCCCAAAGTGCTGGAATTACAGGTGTGAGTCTCCGCACCCAGCACCCAAGGAATACTTCTAAAAGATACTTTAGAAGATTATGGTCTGACCTCAAAGTTTAGAGAAAGAAAATGCTACTTTTCCCACAATGACCCACGAAAGCTTTGTTATCCATGACTTTACCTAAAAGTTTTCAGAATATTTTTATTTTTTATCCTGGGTCTCTACTTTTGGCTTGCAGGTTGTTCTGCTGTAAATGAAGGGTGGGATTAGGGTAGCATTGGCAACAAACAGCCTAGGCATCACCACTTTCCCTTCTGGGGCTGAGAAGACACCATGCCCTTTAATTACAGCCTTCTTTTCTCAGCTCCTCAGATTTGGCTTCAGAATCCTCAGCATGGCTCCCTAGTCAGCTGGTACCAACCTGGGAGAGTTGACATGGCACATAAAGCTTATTTGCCATCCTGGGATTAGAAGCTCTTGAGGAACCTTTGAGCTCTAATGTGGGATTCAAGTCCACACGCGTTTGTGAAGCAACTATGACCAAGCACTGTGGCTGACATGTGGGTGAAAACAGAACGAGTCTCGGGATTCCAGATTAAATGAAATAGGAGCACACTTTAAATTGCCACAATGGTAACCTTTTTTAAGGTTTAAGGATCTTGAACCTGGGAATAATGCATAACAGCTACACATCTGTATACAGCAATAACAAATGATTCCCTGATTTCAGAGCCTCTTCCACTCTTATTGGCCATGTATTCTCAAAAGTTTTTCTTTCTTGTCTCCCAATGCAAGTGAACAAGGGGAATTGACTAGAAAGCCAGAATCCATCATTATGGTTGGAAGCCTTTCTGTTTCCCCCCTTACCTCAGGACTTGGAGAAGCTTAACGTGGGAAAATTGCTCAGAACCTCCAACCGATCACTATCATGATGATCCTTTATAGTGTTCTATTTCATGTGCTGCAGACTTTGGACACTGGTTGTATGATTTTGCTTGTTTTTCCTCTGCTTTAAGCAGCTGAGTACTCTATATTAAGGCCTAAGCAATCAATATAATAATAGCTACCCTTTGAGTGTTTACTATTTGCTAGACCCTGTGCTAAGAGTTTGATGCATATTATTCCATTTAATCCTCACTACGATGAAGTTAGACAGTTTTGTTTTGTTTGAAACAGGGCCTCACTCTGTTGCCCAGGCTGGAGTGTGGTGTCGCTATGTCAGCTCACTACAGCCTCAACCTCCTGGGCTCAAGCAATTATCCTGCCTCAGCTTCCCGAGTAGCTGGGACTACAGGTTCATGTCATCACACTCAGCTAATTTTTTGGTATATTTTTAGAGACAGGGTTTCACCATGTTGCCCAGGCTAGCCTGGAACTCCTGAGCTCAAATGATCCTCTTGCCTTGGCCTCCCAAAGTGCCGAGGTTACAGGTAGGTGTGAGCCACCATGCCCGGCCAGGCAGTTTTATCCATTAATATTTTACAAAAAACTGAGGCTCAGAGAGATTATATAACTTGGTCAAGCTGATTGTTAAATATTCAAGAATTTTGTAAGCTGCGGTTTGTTAAACCTAACTTGAAATAGGCCATGGTAGGAGTATTTACAATGCAGAAATGGGTAAGCACTCTAAGTCAGAGTTCCCCTTTCCCCCATTCAATTCACCAGCAAAGGACTGGTTAACCCGAAAGCACAGTGACACTATCCTTTTTTGTTAGATCTTTGTCCTGTATATATGACATTTGAAATTTGAATTGTTTCTAGGGTTTGGCAATTATGAAAAAGCCTCTGATCATCATTTATGTCCAGATTTGTATGAACACAAGTTTTCTCCCTTTTTTTTTTTTTATTATTTTTTTTTTGAGACGGAGTCTTGCTCTGTCGGCCAGGCTGGAGTACAGTGGCGCCATCTCAGCTCACTGCAAGCTCCGCCTCCCGGGTTCCCGCCATTCTCCTGCCTCAGCCTCCTGAGTAGCTGGGACTACAGGTGCCTGCCACCACACCCTGCTAATTTTTTCTATTTTTAGTTGAGACGAGGTTTCACCTTGTTAGCCAGGATGGTCTCGATCTCCTGACCTCGTGATCCACCTGCCTCAGCCTCCCAAAGTGCTGGGATTATAGGTGTGAGCCACCGCGCCCGGCCTTTTTTTTTTTTCTTTTTTTGAGACAAGGTCTCACTCTGTCACCCAGGTTGGAGTGCAGTGGTGGGATCTCGGCTCACTTCAACCTCTGCCTCCTGAGCTCAAGCGATCCTCCCACCTCAGCCACCCCCTTACCCCTTCCTTGGCTAATTTTTTGTTAGTTTTTTAGAGACAGGGTTTCACCATTTTGCCCAGGCTGGTCTTGAACTCCTGGGTTCAAGCGATCCACTCACCTTGGCCTCCCAAAATGCTAGGATTACAGGTACAAGCCATGGCACCTGGCCGTTTTCCAAAGTTATTTATCATTTTGCATTCCCACCAGCAATGCCTAAGAGTTCCAGTTGCTCCACATCCTTGCCACAACTTAACATTGTCAATTTTTTTTTTTTTTTTTGAAACGGAGTCTCACTGTCACCCAGGCTGGAGTGCAATGGCACGATCTTGGCTCACTACAACCTCTGCCTCCTGGGTTCAAGGGATTCTTCTGCCTCAGCCTCCCGAGTAGCTGGGATTACAGGCACCCGCCACCACACCCTGCTTTTTTTGTTGTTTTTTTAATATATATATATTTTTAGTAGAGACAGGGTTTCCCATGTTGGCCAGGCTGGTCTCAAACTCCTGACCTCAAGTGATCTGCCCATCTCAGCCTCTCAAAGTGCTGAGATTATAGGCATGAGCCACCATGCCTGGCCTTTGGTTTTGTTTCAACCATTCTAATAAATGTGTATGATATTTCATTGTGTTTAATTTGCATTTTCCTAATGATTAATGATGTTGATAATCTTTTCATGTGCCTAATTGTCATTCATCTAGTTTCTTTGGTGAAGTTCCTGTTCAAATCTTTTGTCCAATTTTTATTGGGTTGTTTCCTTATTATTAAGTTTTGACAGGTTTTTATATATTACAGATATAAATCTTTTTACCCAGTCCATGGCTAATCTTTTCATTTTCTTAACATGTCATATATATATATACACACACATATGTGTATATAAATACATATATATACATATATACACATATGTCATATATATACACATACACACACACATATATGTCATATATATACACACACACTTATATACACACACTTTTTTTTTTTTAAAGATGGGGTCTAGCTCTGTCACCCAGGCTGGAGTACAGTGGTGCAATCATAGTTACTGCAACCTCAAACTCCTAGGCTCAAGCAAGCCTCCTGCCTCTGCCTCCTATGTAGCTAGGACTTGTACAGGCACACATCACCACACTCAACTAATTGTTTTTTTTTTTTTCCTGGATCCGCTTGTTTCTATGCAATTGACTAATTTTTTTTTTTTTTTTTGAGATGGAGTCTCGCTCTTTTGCTCAGGCTGGAGTGCAGTGGTGCTATCTCGGCTCACTGCAACCTCCACCTCCCAGGTTCAAGCAATTCTCCTGCCTCAGCCTCCCGAGTAGCTGGGATTACAGGCGCCCGCCACTACACCTGGCTAGTTTTTGTATTTTTAGCAGAGACAGGGTTTCACCATGTTGGCCAGGCTGGTCTCAAACTGCTGACCTCAGGCGATCCACGTGCCTCGGCCTCCCAAAGTGCTGGGATTACAGGTGTGAGCCACCGCGACCGGCCACAACTGACTAATTTAAAAAAAATTATTTTTAGTAGAGACAAGGTCTGGCTATGTTGACTGGGCTGGTCTTAAACTCCCAGGCTCAAGTGATCTTCCTACCTCAGCCTTCTAAAGTGCTGGGATTTTAGGCATGAGCCACCATGCATCGCCAAAATATTATTTATTTGACAAATAAAAATTGTATTTTTTTTGTATTTTTTAAATGTACATTTATCATCTACAACATATTGTTTTTAAACATATAAATTGTGAAATGGCTAAATTGAACTGATTAACATATGTATTACTTCACATACTTTTTTATGATGAGAACACTTAAAATTTACTTATTTTGCAATTTTCCAGATTTTTTTTTTTTGAGATGGAGTCTGGCTCTGTCGCTCAGGTTGCAGTGCAGTGGTGCCATCTCGGCTCACTGTAACCTCTGTCTCCTGGGTTCAGGTGATTCTTGTGCCTCAGCCTCCCAAGTAGCTGGGATTACAGGCACTTGCTACCACACCCAACTAATTTTTGTATTTTTAGTAGAAACAGGGTTTGACTGTATGGGCCAGGCTGGTCTCAAACTACTGACCTCAAGTGATCCGCCTGCCTTGGCCTCTCAAAGTGCTGGGATTACAGGCGTGAGCCACTGTGCCTGGCTGGAATTTTCAAGATCTTAACCTGTCTTTTGAAGAGCAAAATTTATTCATTTTTATGAAGTCCAAATTGTTATTATTTATTTTAATGGGTCATGTTTACTGTGTCATATCTAAAAAATCTTTGTGTAACACAAGGTCACAAAGGTGTTCTCGTATGTTTTCTTTTAGAAGTTTTATGGTTTGTTTTCTATTCAGGTCTACAATCTGTTTTGAGTTTGTATGTGAATAGGCTGTGAGTTATGAATCAAGGCTTATTTATTTGCGTATTATAATCAATGAGCCTATATTGACATATCATTATCACTGCAAGTTCATAGTTTACATTATGGTTCATTAGGTGTCGTACATTCTGTGGGTCTGGACAAATGTATAATGACATGTACCCACTACTGTAGTGTCATACAGAAGCATTTCACTGCCCTAAAATCCTCTGTGCTCTACCTGTTCATCTTTCCCTCCCCCACGGATCTCTTTACTATCTCCATAGTTTTGCCTTTTCCAGAATGTTGTTGGGGTGATCAGACCCAACACCAGGTCGTGGGGGCGACGAAGTCCAGCAGAGTCAAAAGAATGAGAAAAAGACAGTTTGAGAGAGAAAGTGGGACCAGGGGACCATCGTGAGTGTGGAGGCTGCCAAGGCCCCGATTTCTGGGCGTCCATGGCTGCTTATTGGTGCTCAAACAAACAAACAGGTGGTGAAGATGTGGGGGTTGACAGGAAACAGTGTATCAAGTGAATGGCTGCTTGAAATAATGGGTGTGCTAGAAGCAAGGAGCCAGCAAGTCTAGCAGACATGGAAGCCCTGCCTCAGCTGCTCTCCCAACACTCAGCTTTTCTCCCAACATGTGCTCTACCTGTTCATCTTTCCCTCCCCCACAGATCTCTTTATTATCTCCAAAGTTTTGCCTTTTCCAGAATGTTATATAGTTGGAACCATCACTTACATACTATCAGTATGATCTTTTTCAGATTGGCTTCTTTCACTTAATATAATAATACACATTTAAGATTCCTTCATGTTCTCTCTCACTTCTCTCTTCTCTCTCCTTTCTTTCAGACTGAGTCTCACTCTATCGCCCAGGCTAGAGTGCAGTGGCACAATCTCAGCTCACTGCAACCTCCACCTCTGGGTTCAAGCAATTCTCGTGCCTCACCCTCCCAAGTAGCTGGGATTACAGGTGCCCACCACCACGTGTGGCTGATTTTTGTATTTTTTAGTAGAGATGGGGTTTCACCACGTTGGCTAGGCTGGTCTCGAACTCCTGACCTCAAGTGATCTGCCCACCTTGGCCTCCCAAAGTGCTGGGATTACAGGCGTGAGCCACTGCGCCTGGCTCCTGCATGTCTTTTAATGGCTTGATAGCTCATTTCTTGTTAGTGGTGAAGAATATTTCATCATCTGCATGTACCACAGTTTATTTATCCATTCACCTACCAAAGAACATCTTGTTTGCTTCCATGTCTTGTCAATTCTGGGTAAAGCTACTATAAATGACTATGTGTAGGTTTTTGTGTGGATATACATTTTCAACTCATTTATATAAATTCCAAGGAGAGTGATTGCTGGATTATATGGTAAAAGCATGCTTAGTTTTGTGGTAGTTTTTGTTTTGTTTTGTTTTACATTTAGATCTTTATCTGGAATTTCTTTTTATGAAAATATGAGGTAAACTTTCCTCCTAAATGGATAGGCATTTGTCCTGACATCATTTATTGCATCCATTTTTTCCTAGTGGTTGGAAAGCATCATCCACAGACTAAATCATGCAAGGTAACTGTGTGAGCCTGGACAAGTTAGTTAACATCTCTGTACTCCAGGTTTCTCACCTGGCAAAGGGGTTAACAATAACTGCTTACAGCATTGGTATGAAGGTAACATGAGGCAATGGGCATGGACACATTTGAAAAAGTAAAAATCCCGTATCCCTGAATCATCTGTATATGGGTGAAGATAACATGACTCTTTCTGAGGCTGTGAACACACTTGCTCATCTGAAAAGCCATCCAGATCCATCAAAGAATTCTCAAACCATTGGTCACATTTGAAATGTAGATGCCAATGATCCATATTTTCAGGGGATTTGCGTGTGGGCTTCAGTAGAAGGGAAGAGAAGGCTAGTGAAGGAGTAACTAGTAGGTAGCCATGGATGAATTATCAGTTTGGGTACCCTGTGGTCCTATAGACTTCAAGAGGACATAAATACCACTTGTTAGACTGTGAGTTCCTTGAGGGCAGAGTGCTTGTGTCGAATTTGTCTTAAAAATCACAGAGCCTGATTAGAAAGCTTCCAGTTAAGTTTCAATGAATTAAACTAAATTTTCTCCATTAGGACTCACTGGGAAGAGAAGAAAAAGGAAGTCTAAGGAAAATGGAATCTCTCATCTGGCCTACCCTTGCTTCCAAATACTTGGTACTCTTGTAAAGAATCCAATTTACAGCCAGTTGCTATCAAGTATAATTAGTGAAAACGATCCTTTTTCTCAGTAAATGGCAGCTTTCTTGGTATAGTTGCCCTGTGCCTTGCTGCAACTTGGCAGCTCAGACCCACCAGTGGGGAACAGTCTGGGAGCCCTGTGGGGTGGCTCTGGAGCTGCTGATGGAAGGCACAGGAATCAGGGCTTGCTGAACTTAAGGTTCAGGCTGCTTTCCCTGCAATAGGGTCAGCCAGCAGGGAGCAGGCAGGTCTGTGATGCAAGCAGAGAAGGTGGGATTGTGCCCACTGGGGAAGGGGGCTCTTGCTCTACCAAAGAGGAGGCTGGATGCCATGGTGCAGAATCCTCTGGGGTCTTGGCTCCTACTTGTCAACCACTAATTAATTTTTAGGTTTACAATTGATGTTTTCTTATCCAAGGACATCTGGTATACAAAAGTTCCCCTAGCTTAAAATGTTTAGTATTCTCTGAATAGCTTTCCTCTGTTCCCTAAGAAAGAGGCTTCCTCAGCAGCTGTGCTGCAAAAGACCCCAAATGTATTGCACATCCGAAGAGTGGCTAAGTGGGAGGTGAAGGGTGGGTACAGGGGTCTGTTGTAGGCACTGTCCTCCTCTGGGCTCCTTTGACATTGGCCTGGTGGCTGGGATACTTCAGAATAAAGGCCTAGTGGGTCACAGGTTTAGGAGGAGTTGGGGCTGGTCCCTAGGCCACTATAGGTGGTGGGCAAACATTGTAGAAGGCCTAATGTTTAGAAAGCCAGTGTGGAATTCTCCTTTGTGCAACTGCGTCACTGAATCAATTGGGATTTTTTATTGGTGAATGGACACTTGGAAGTTTTAATATGCAAAACATAATTTACTTTTATTACTTAAATTGCTTAATGTAATTTTAATATGCAAGACTTAATTTACGAAGAGCCAGGATTCCGGGTGTTTAAATCCTTGTCTCCAGGGAACACAGCTGTCCCTTTGAGGAAAACCTAATTTCTCTTCCCTGCCTGTGTGACTTTGGGACAAATCTGGGACAACAGTGAATTCTCTATTACTGTTATTACCACCCAAGTAAACTAAAAATCCGGGATGAGAAAAATCTTACAGAAAATTCTAGCTGAGGCTTCTAGCTTATAGTACAATGAATAGACCTTAATCATAGAATGCCTTTAAGAAAAACATTTAGGCCCGACTTGGTGGTTCACACCTGTCCTGTAATCCCACCACTTTGGGAGGCCGAGGCGGACAGATCTCTTGACCTCAGGAGTTTGAGACCAGCCTGGGCAACAAGGTGAGATCCTGTCTCTACAAAAAATACAAAAATTAGCCTGGTGTGGTGGTGCCCGCCTGTAGTCCCAGCTACTCGGGAGGCTGAAGCGGATGGATCGCTTGAGCCCGGGAGGTGGAGGCTGCATTGAGCTGAGATTGCGCCACTGCACTCCAGCCTGGGTGACACAGCGAGACCCTGTCTCCAAGTAAACAAAATAAAATAAAATAAAGAAAAATATTCAAAAAGCCCTCGAGGTTTTTTTGTTTGTTTGTTTGATTTTTTTGATACGGAGTCTTACTCTGTTGTCCAAGGTGGGGTGCAGTGGCACAATCTCGGCTCACGGCAACCTCTGCCTCCTGGGCTCAAGCGATCCTACCGCCTTAGCCTCCCCAGGCATGCGCCACCACACCCGGCTGAATTTTTCTTTTTTCTTTTCTTTTTTTTTTTTTTTTGAGACGGACTTTCACTCTTGTTGCCCAGGCTGGAGTGCAATTGTGCAATCTCGGCTCACCACAACCTCTGCCTCCCGGGTTCAAGCAATTCTCCTGCCTCAGCCTCCCGAGTAGCTGGGATTACAGGCATGCTCCACCATGCCCGGCTAATTTTGTATTTTTAGTACAGACAGGGTTTCTCCATGTTGATCAGGCTGGTCTCGAACTCCCGACCTCAGGTGATCCGCCCACCTCGGCCTCCCAATTCTTTTTCTTTCTTTCTTTCTTTCTTTTTTTTTTTTTTTTTTTTTTTTTTTATTTTGTATTTTTTATGGAGATGGGGTTTCGCCATGTTGCCCAGGCTGGTCTCGAACTTCTGGGCTTAAGCGGTCCGCCCGCCTCGGCCTCCCAAAGTCTGGGATAACAGGCTTGGGCCACCGCGCCCGGCCGAAGCCTGAACTGTTTATCAGTTCAATTATTTTTGCGGAATTGAACCGAACCGAATGGAATGGGAGCTTGCAGAGAGCTTCTACTCAAAGCAGTTCCTAAGGTTGATGGGGTGGAAGGAAATAAACAGAACAGCTATTGGCGTGGCCGAGTCGCTACGGACGGGGAACCCGAGCCGCTCGCGCAGGCGCAGAGCCAGGCCCGCGAGGGGATGGGAAGGTGGGGGGGAGGGGCGTTCCCTGGGCCCTGCCCCTCCCTGCCCTGCTTTAGTTCCAGGTACCGCCACTGGGGGCGGCCGCGGCCTCCCCAGCGGCAACGGCCACGAAGCTGCGCGGCCCTGGTTTCCAGCCGGGCCCTTTTCGCGGCCGGGCCCCAGCATGGCTGCCCCCACGGCTGAGGGCCTGGCAGCTGCTGCGCCCTCGCTTTCTTGACATTCCCTGGCTTCTGTGCTCTCTTCCCCAGGCCACCCCAGCAGACATGTTTGCCAAGGCCTTTCGGGTCAAGTCCAACACGGCCATCAAGGGGTCGGACAGGTGAGGGAGGAAAGGGGCCTGCTCTGCCACGGAACAACCAGACACCTCTTGGGCCCCGCTGGCCCATAGCCCTCGCTATTCTTGGCCGACATCCTCGGGTGGAGGCCGAGGGGTATGCCAGGGAAGGGACCCCAGGAGGCAAGGGTGGGTTAGACACATTTTGAGGTGAGGATGGAGGGGGACCTGGCTCTCTTTTGGATAGTCTAGTGAGTTTAAAAGAAAACGTAGTTAAGTCAGAGTTTACTGACTGCAGACTATTTAAGGTGTTGTGGAGAATGCAGAAGTGAAGGAATACAGAATTCTTGCCCTCCAAAGAGCTTAATGCCCCTTGGGAGAGATCGGATGGGATACCAAGAATTAAAAGTATAAGAGAAAAAAATGACTAGTGATTAATTCTGGCAGGAGAGACAGCTGGAAACTGAGGTGGGAGGGAATAAGGCACATGTGGTAAGAAGAACTGTATCTGTTCAGACAGGGTCACAAATGGAGATTGTGTTTGGAATTTTGTAACCAGTGCTTTATAGTTGTCTATAGGTCTCATGGCATAGTTATTTAATCATAAACTGGCATATTTGCGAAGCATGTATGAGAAAGGAGTGGGCCCAAGGGCTAGGCATGAAGTCAGGAAGGCAGGGCTGTTTCCTGTGTCAGGCTAACTTGGATTGTTCACTGGGCCTGTTTTCCCACCCATAAAATGGGAAGGCATACCCCAGGAATGAGTGAAAATAGATGACAATGGATGAAAAAGAGTTTAGGATGTTTCAGAAGAGTGTGTGTGAGACTAGGACATCATAAACCAGGCAATCTTTCTTTGGCCCTTGTGATTTTATAGTGAGCACTTTTGAGTTCGTTCTTGATATTTATTAAAAGTCTGTCCAGGCAGCATTCACAGTGCTGGTGTGCTTTCCACAGGAGAAAGCTTCGAGCTGATGTGACAACTGCTTTCCCCACCCTTGGAACTGATCAAGTCTCTGAGTTAGTACCTGGAAAGGAGGAGCTCAACATTGTGAAGTTGTATGCTCACAAAGGGGATGCAGTGACTGTGTACGTGAGTGGTGGTAACCCCATCCTCTTTGAACTGGAGAAAAATCTGTATCCAACAGGTATGACAACAGGACGAAGATGGCCATTACCATTAGGTAGTTCTTGCCTAACATCTGCTTCTCTCTGTTTCTTCCATTGTCTCCCATAAAATAAGCAAGCACGAAATCTCCCAATACCATCCCCAAGGATCTTTATGGACCTGGTGTTCCTAGAATTGGGTCTTTCAATTCTAGGATGCAAAAGGTTTTCTCTTATGCAAAACCACTATAGGAGGGATTAAAAAAAGGGCTGACATAGTAAGTAAGGGTGGTTGCAAAGGGAAGTTCTGAGATGAAGGAACAGTGGCTGAGAAGTTTACAGTGGGTTGACTAGGAATAGAGCAGAGGTCTTGAAAAGGATGGAATTTCAGGGCATGTCTTCATGAGACAGAGTCTTGCTCTGTTGCCCAGGCTGGAGTGCAGTGGCGCAATCTCAGCTCACTGCAAGCTCCGCCTCCTGGGTTCACACCATTCTCTTGCCTCAGCCTCCCGAGTAGCAGGAACTACAGGCACCCGCCACCACACCTTGCTAATTTTTTGCATTTTTTAGTAGAGACGGGATTTCACCATGTTAGCCAGGATGATCTTGATCTCCTGACCTCATGATCCGCCCGCCTCGGCCTCCCAAAGTGCTGGAATTACAGACGTGAGCCACCGCGCCTGGCCAAAAATATATATATTTTTTAGAGACAAGGTCTTACTCTGTCACCCAGGCTGAAGTGCAGTGGTGTGATCGTAGCTAACTGTAACCTCAACCTCCTGTGCTTAAGGGATCCTCCCACCTCAGCCTCCTGTGTAGCTGGGACTACAGGCATATGCCACCATGTCTGGCTACGTTTAAAATTTTTGGTAGAGACAAGGTCTCACTATGTTGCTCGGGCTGGTCTTGAACTCTTGAGCTCAAGTGATTTTCCTGCCTCAGTCTCCCGAAGTGTTGGGATTACAGGCATGAGCAGGGTGCCCAGCCTAAAAAATGTTTCTTAAAACTATCTGTAGCAGGATTTTCCTAAAATACTGAAAAGATATACTGTGATAGGAATAAAGCTGGATTGATAAGCTACATATCCAGCTGTTTTCATGGTGTACTTTAACCATAGGTCTCACAGGGATTTTTTAGGCTATGAGTGGCTCTCTAGGATTCTTTGCCTTCTCTGTCACAAATCTCAGGGACTCAGTCTCCTTTTCTCTTTTCCATAGCTGCTGACACCTACTTTGTAACTTGGGGCTTTTCATCCTCCAGGGTTGTCTGCAATAGTGCAATGCAATATCCTTAGGCCACTCCTGCCCCTGATCTCACTTCCTTGCTGTACCTGAAGACAACCACAATGCTTTTTGACCTAGGGGTTTTTGCTGCTAATCACTATGGAAACAGAGGGGATAAAAATGATAAACATGGGAAAGTTTCCAAATTTTATACAGCTGGCTTCCTGTTCTTAGGCTACTTGCTTCTGAAGCCGTAAATAAAAGCTTCATTGGTTCTCTGCCCTCACTTTTTTGTCCACTGTGACCATTTTCTGCTGCTGCAATCCGGATGCCTCCAAATCTCAAGTGACACTCAGTTTCTTAGGTTTTTTCCTTCCTCAAAAATGAAACCTCTCTGGGCATCCCCTTACAACCTTCTCTTTAGCTTTGAGTTGAGTTTCTTTCCTGTATTCTAATTAAAGTGACCATAGTGTTAGGTTTTTCCATTTCTCTAGAAGATTGGCTTTTTGGTAGTAGTGTTTTCTGGATCTCTTTTTGTACAGTGTACACGCTGTGGTCCTATCCTGATCTTCTGCCAACCTTTACAACATGGCCTCTGGTGCTCGAGAAACTGGTAGGGGGAGCAGGTAAGAGGATTCTCCTATATTCTGGCTATTGGCTGAAACCTACTTAGCAAAAGCCAACTGATGTAATAAACTTACCCATTTCCTGTGTTTTTGTGGTTGAAAAATGGAATTTTTTCCCCTATGTGTTTTATGTTTCTCACTTGGCTGGTTCCACACAAGATCTCTGGGCCCCTCTGGCCCTGTTGTAAGGCTTAAATAAGTGTTGTGAAAGTATTTTATGAACCACCATGTGCTATACTGTAAATCAATAAGCTGAATTTAGGAAACTAGGACAAGACAGATCATGTTATAGGCTACTCAAACTTTTTTTATTTTTTTTTTTTTGAGATGGAGTCTCACTCTGTTGCTCAGGCTGGAGTGCAGTGGCATGATCTCGGCTCACTACAACCTCTGCCTCCCAGGTTCAAGTGATTCTCCTGCCTCAGCCTCCCGAGTAACTGGGATTACAGGTGTGCATCACCACGCCTGGCTAATTTTTGTATTTTTAGTAGAGACAGGGTTTCATCATGTTGGCCAGGCTGGTCTCGAACTTCTGACCTCAAGTCAACTGCCCGCCTTGGCCTCCCAGAGTGCTGGGATTACAGGCGTGAGCCACCGCACCTGGCTAAGAGTAGCTCTTTTATGCCAGAAGAATGTTAGGAGCTGAGTCTGGAGTGGAAGTCAAGGTTCCCACTTCTGGCTTAGAAACCACCATTTGAATAAAAATAAATGTCCTGCTATTGGATGGGTGAAGGGGTCATAAAAAGCGTAAGCCACAGGCATAAGGCACTGCGCCCGGCCAGGACACTCAAACTCTGTTTGACCTTTAGCCCCCTAAGGGGAGAAGGTCTGATACTGAAGTTGCCATTTTTCATTTTTATTATGAATAACATAGTTGATAACTAATAACTATTTTTTTGTTGGAAGTTGCCATTTTTCATTTTTATTATGAAAAACATAGTTGATACCTAGTAACTATTTTTTTGTTGAGCGAGTGAGGAAATGATGAAGTAAAACGCAGAGTGAGATGGAGGCTGAATGCAGGTTGTGATTTTTTTTGTTCATTGCAGATTTGATGCTGCCTGGACTGGTGATGCCCCCTGCTGGTCTGCCTCAGGTACAGAAGGGCGACCTCTGTGCCATTTCTTTGGTGGGGAACAGGTACTGTGCCAGGCAACTGTGCCTTTGGGGGAAAAACTTGTGTAAAAGAGAAGTTGGAGGGGAATGACAACTTATAAAGCATATGAACAAAAGAGTGAAAGCAAAAATCGGTTTTGGAAGAAGCAGAGTGGGCCAGCAGGAGAATGGCAGCAAACCTATGGGGAATCCATGTGCCTGGGCAGAGTGTATTTGCTGTTTGCTGTTGCTGCTCTGTTTTCTTTCAACTTAGCATTTTTATTTTATTTTATTTTATTTTATTTTTTAGATTTACAGAAGAGTTGCAAAGATAGTAGAGTTCTGAAATGCTCATTACCCAGCTTCCTCTAATGGTAGCCTCTTACATAACCACAATATAGATTATTACAACTAAGAAATTAACATTGGCAAAGTACTGCTAACTAAACTACAGACTTTATTCATATTTCCCCAGTTTTTTCACTGATATCTTCTTTCTCTTCACGTATCCAATGTAAAATACCAAATTCCATTTAGTTGTCATGTCTCCTTAGTCTCCTGTTTGTGACCTTTTTTGTTTTTTTGTTGTTGTTGTCTTTCATCACCCTCATGCTTTTTCCCTATATGCATATCATTATCCTCATCTTTTAATTATTTTTGATAGCTTTATTGAGATACAGTTTACATACAGACAGGATCTCACTCTGTTGCTCAGGCTGGTCTCAGATTGTTGGCTTCAAGCGATACTCCTGCCTTGGCCTCGCAAAGAGTTGGGATCACAGGCATGAGCCACTACGTCTAGCCTCCAATGCTTCTTTTTAAAAATAAGAAGTAATTGTATGAACAGCTCTGAAAAATTAAAAGCCTCCCTTACCCCACAATCTTTTTCTCCTAGAAATAACCATTATCATTTTGATGTGTGTCCTTCTTGTCATTGTCCTACACATATATACATGTGCGTATAAAAATACATGGCTTAGGGTATGTGTGTTTAAAAATTCAAACAAAATTATACTGTGTATGTGTTATTTTTTCACTTAATATAGTGTGGACGTTTTCTTTTTTTAATTTTTCTTTTTTATTTTTATGCGGACATTTAAATACTAACAATACACATTTAACTTTAACTGTGTGTTAAATAAGAACACACAGATCTGCCAAACCTTTTTACCTGTTGTGTGGTGATGGAAGAGGCCCTCTCCTGGTGGACATTGAGGTTGCCTCCAATTTGTCTCTATTACAAACGTTATCTTATTGATGCCTCTAGGGACACTGTTGCTAGTATTTTTCCAGAGTAGATACTAAAATGCAGAATTGTTAGGTTGAAGATCATGTGTATTTTCTGTTTTCCTACAAACAAGCTGTATCAGTTTTTACACCTACCTGCAGCATATATGGAGCCTATTTCCCTATACTCTCACCAATACTGGATATGATAGGTCATCTTCATTTGTGTTATCCTAGTGAGTGAAAAATTACATCTTACTATTTTTTTTCATGGAGATGACCAAGGTGGACTCATTATTTTGATAATTTCTTCTTTGAGAGAGAAGGAAAGAGCGATGGTAGGCATGGGAGGGGTCAGTGTTCAAAGATCTTATTTTTGCTACTCATATTATTCTATTTTCCTTGAACGCTTTGGAACCAAGCACCTAGAAACTTCTGTTTACCTGTAGCAGAAATTACAGTTGAAAAGAATGATGGTGTTACCGTTTTTCTCCCCCAGTATTCTATCTGAGATAGGAGGAAACTATGTAAATGGATATTTGGCCTGTTCACTTTAGCCTTTAGAGTGTATATGGGGGTGGAGCTATGGATGGTTTGTGGTGGGGGTAATGATATGAGGGGTTGTTAAAAATACAAGTCATGTTCAAGACTGGAGTTCTCAAGCCATTGACCTTTCAGGGGTAGATGAGAAAAACCTTCTTTTAAGAACTGGGAAAGAAGCCAGTTTCAGATTTTGTGGCAGGAACTGACCTATAGGTACAGTTAGCAGAGCTACCAGGTTTAAAGCAAGTTCAAGTATTGGGAACTCTCACTTGGACCCTGGCTACCTTGCCAGGCTTATGTATTATTCCCCCACTGTTATCCAGCTAGTCACCTATCCTTACAGGCAATATCTGATTGATCAATGCTTGAGTAACACTGGGCTGGCAGAGATTTCTCATCTGGGCTTTGGAAGTTTCTGTAGTTACTATATATGTGGTTGTTTTTGATATCCTGGAAACATCCAGTTCTTAGATATATAGTTACACTGAGCAACCCCTCTTATAAAGTCAACTTAGAAGGAACTTCTCTAGTTGGCCCCACTATGTGTCTCTTCTCTCTTCCCTATGGCATCCCTCAGCCTAATTTATGATATATGAATTGCCTCCCCTTTAAACTTCCTTATGGGATGGCTATGACTTCTTTAAGGTAGAGGAGATAATTTATATTTTTGAAATTAATGAAAGGGAACATTAAATATCCTTCCAAGACCCACCTGGAGATTTAATTCACAGCAGGAATAAAACAAAGGCAGTGATAAAGTCAATAGAGGAGTTACTAATACAGAAGTTTAGTGTTTAGTTTAATATTTGGTCAAGGGATTTTTGAAAGTAATATTTGTACATAATCTGAAGAAAACTGAGAGTGGACTGAGTTTGGTTTTATGATACAAGACCTTCGAATTGGTAACCTTGGTATTTTTACCACATGTGTCAGAAGATGATCCTAACATGTGCCCTTCCCATAGATTTTCCATGACCCTGGTCTCTGGCTTCCTTCTTCTTAGAGCCCCTGTAGCCATTGGAGTTGCAGCCATGTCCACAGCTGAGATGCTCACGTCAGGCCTGAAGGGAAGGGGCTTCTCTGTGCTCCACACTTACCAGGACCACTTGTGGTGGGTACAGAGTTTCTTCTGTTTTACAGAGAACCGGGGCAGCTGGGGAGAGGATGGGGCCTGTGATTCAGGAGTGAGAGTTTTGGTCCTAGCCATGTCTTTAAGCAAGTTGCTAAGCCCAGACTTTTATTTCCTTACAAATATAAAGAAAATATTTTTTTCCCCTGTTTGGACAAGTAATGAGAGAGAACTTTATTTTCTAAGTGAATTATAGAATCTTAGACCCAAAGGAAGACCTTAGGGATCATCTGCTCTGCCTCTCAGTACAGTGATACTCGTTTTTTTATAGCCCTGGTCAATCTGGCCCTAGCTGCGATGCACATTTTAGACATCATGTGACCCCATGATGAGTGCTTCTGAATCCTAATCACTGCAGGGTAGACCTTTAGACTCCAGGATTATAACCTGATTACTTTTATGTTATTCAGATTTCACATTCCAGACTCCTCCTCCTCATGAAAGTAACGCATTCTGACTGTAAAGGTTGCATTCTTGAGACGCGTACCTGTTCATTTTCTGGTTATTTTCTTGTCATTTTAGCAAAACAGTAAGCAGTGATTTTCTCAAAGCACACATTTAGCCAAGTATTGTGGCCTGTTGGTATAGATTCATTCTTATATTTTCCAGCCCAGTCTTGGAATTATTAATTTTTTTTTTTTTTTTTTTTGAGATGGAGTCTCGCTCTGTCGCCCAGGTTGGAGTGCAGTGGCGTGATCTCAGCTCACTGCAAGCTCCACCTCCCGGTTCACTCCATTCTCCTGCCTCAGCCTCCTGAGTAGCTGGGACCACAGGTACCTCCCACCACGCCCGGCTAATTTTTTGTATTTTTAGTAGAGACGGGGTTTCACCATGTTAGCCAGGATGGTCTCGATCCATTGACCTTGTGATCCACCCACCTCGGCCTCCCAAAGTGCTGGGATTACAGGTGTGAGCCACTGCGCCCAGCCTTTTTTTTTGAGATGGAGTTTTGCTCTTGTTGCCCAGGCTGGAGTGCAGTGGCGCAATCTCAGCTCACTGCAACCTCTGCCTCTCGGTTCAAGTGATTCTCCTACCTCAGCCTCCCGAGTAGCTGGGATTACAGGCTTGTGCCCAAAACATCCGGCTAATTTTTTTGTTTTTAGTAGAGACAGGGTTTCACCGTGTTGGCCAGGCTAGTCTCGAACTCCTAACCTCACGTGATCTGCCCATCTAGGCCTCCCAAAGTGCTGAGATTACAGGCGTGAGCCACCGCTCCCCGCCGGACTTACTGATTTTACAAGTACTTGCCAAGTCCTCCTTTGCTGGTACAAGCTCATTTTTGCCTGTTTTTAGATATTTGAGGGCTGATGACTGATGTTCTCCTAGCACCTTGTTGTTTAACTATCAGTCTGGGCAACAGCAATCAAGGTCAGGTTGTCTAAGTTGTTTTAGCAGCAGCTGCTTTGGTTCTCTCGCTGCACCTTGAAAAAAATATTTATGGTATTTACCTGATCAGAATAGCCTAAACATACCCTTTGGCTTTACTGTGAACAACACTGAGAAGCCTTGCCGTAACTATTAGTTAAAACTTAGTTTGATTTGCATAATGTTGGCTAAGATAAAGTTTTTTACTGCTTTGTGTGCTTTGCTATGTGGCATCGCCTGTTTTCCTGTCTTCCTAAGGCTTAGTGGCATAAAACCATGGCAATCTCTGCTTTCCACGTTAGACTGCATTTGATGTAACACAGAAGCCACTGATTTTGCAGTCCTTGAGCAGTCCAGGTGTTTGTGTTTTATTACATATGCTGAGCCGTGGGTTTGCATTTCACCAAACAGATATTACAGATGCATTCGCGATCTTAATGTTCATATTTAATTCAAATTGGTTTTGTTATTAACTCAGATGAAGGGAACATTTTTGGGAGTTTATCTTAAACTCCTTTTTCTTTAATCTTTCTCAGTCTTGGGATGTCTATTAATAGTATTATTCTTTTGGGATAGGGAGGAGACAAGATTTATTCTCCCCATTTCAGAGATGAAGAAACTGAGGCATGGAACTTTTAGGGGCCCAGAATTGAAAGTACGCTTGAGATGAGGGCACAGGCTCTCTGCCCCCTCCTGGCCACTCCTGCCTGTTGGCTCTCTGCTGTCTCTGACCTCACTGCTGACTCCTCTGTGGCCAGGGCTGGAGAGTATTGGAGCTGCTGCTTGATGTTTCTGACATGAGATTTTTCCAGGCGGTCTGGAAACAAGTCCTCTCCACCTTCCATTGCTCCACTGGCCCTGGATTCAGCAGATCTCAGTGAAGAGAAGGGGTCTGTCCAGATGGACTCCACCCTGCAGGGAGACATGAGGCACATGACCCTGGAGGGGGAAGAGGAGAATGGGGAGGTTCACCAGGCACGTGAAGACAAGTCTCTCTCAGAAGCCCCAGAAGACACCAGCACCAGGGGCCTGAACCAAGACTCCACAGATAGCAAAACGCTTCAAGGTATAACTCTAGGAGGAG
The DNA here is from genome assembly GCF_000001405.40 of Homo sapiens. NCBI lineage: Eukaryota > Metazoa > Chordata > Mammalia > Primates > Hominidae > Homo > Homo sapiens. The sequence continues at coordinate 206,602,932 of NC_000001.11, read as the reverse complement.
AAGAGCCCATCTCCCCACCTCTCAATTTAGGAGCCTGACGAACTCCACTCCACTGCTGACTAGAATGGCCCTTAAGCTTCCGGGGGAGGAGGGGAAGGTCCTTATTTTCTGTGAGGGTGGCGCAGCAGCCCTTTCACATCTTGTTTTTGAATCCTTTCCACATAAGTCACGTCTTCCTGGGAGCTAATCTGCCCTGGCATTTGCCTGTCTTCAGCTACAAAGCCCTCCAAGGTTTCTTCTGGCTCAACTTCTCTGGGTGAACACTCCTAGCTTGGTGGGACTTTGTGGCTTGACTCCTTCTCTGGGGTCAACCCTCTTTAAAGGCTCAGTGCTCAAGAGAGGCTGGGAGCTTTGGTACCTGGGAATGGGTTCCTTTCAGAGCCAAGTGGGTGAGGTAGGGATGAAGCTGGGGGTCGTTTTCTTGTACCAGGTGTTCTGTATCCCTCAGGAAGGATGTGGCTCTTGTCTTTTCCCTGCAGAACAAATGGATGAGCTGTTACAGCAATGCTTCTTACATGCCTTGAAGTGCCGAGTCAAAAAGGCTGACCTCCCTTTACTCACCAGCACTTTCCTTGGCAGCCACATGTTCTCCTGCTGGTATGGAAAGCACTGATGTGGGCTGGAGGCCGGGGCCGGGGTCTCACGTGTGCTCCTTGGTAGTAGGACAGGATGGGGCCAATGCAGGGACTGGTTGAGGGACATGCTGTGGAAAGAGTGGAGGGAAGGCTTATCTGACAAATACATTAGTTCCTGGGTTCTAAAAAGTTAATTCTTAGCTTGCTGGGCTGTTAAAACAAAATCTTAAATTTTAGCCAATGAAAGGATATTGAGGACCGGAAAGTTAAAATTCCTGAGATTCTGTGAACACTGCCTCTGCCGTGGGGGTTCTGGGCAACCTCACAAATCGGGCAGCGTGTCCTCTGCAGGAAGTGTCCCAGGGCAGCCTCTTTGTCAGGAATCTTCTTCTGGAACATTCAACCTCCTCACACTTCTGAAAAGTATGTGGGGGGCCACATTAGGTTTTATTAGGAGGAAGAATTGGTGTGAACACCCCCCGTCCCGGCCCACCCCATCCAAAACACAAGCCATCAGGAGTGGTATTATTGCGTGTGGATAGAACCTGGATTTTGAAGACAGAGCTGTCTGTACTCAACTGCTAGGTCTCCAGGGTGTTCAAGCAATGTGCATTTTAGCTTGTTACTGGGCTTCTCTGAGTCCTAATTTCTAATAATCATGGGATTGCTGTAAAGATTACATAGCCTGAACCATAATAAGCATTCAGTAAATACTATCATGTCAGGAGGTTTGCTTATTGATTTTTACCCTGAGATTGAATTTATTTATTTATTTATTTTTTGTTTTGAGACACAGTTTCACTCTGTCACCCAGGCTGGAGTACAGTGGCGTGATCTCGGCTCACTGCAACCCCTGCCTCCCAGGTTCAAGAGATTCTCCTGCCTCAGCCTTCCCGAGTAGCTGGGATTACAGGCACATGCCACCATGTGCAGCTAATTTTTGTATTTTTAGTAAAGATGGGGTATCACCATGTTGCCCAGGCTGGTTTTGAACTCCTAACCTCAAGTGATCCGCCTGCCTCGGCCTCCCGTAGTGCTGGGATTACAGGCGTGAGCCACTGTGTCCGGCCTGAATTTATTTCTTTTTGAGAATCTGGCTGTGGTTTTTTAAAAAAGTGATTCTTAATGTAATGTCTTCCCATTTATACTTGGGTGTCTTTAAGCTATCCTGTACAAATGTGGTGTCTGGAGTGTGTGGAGGGATACTTGGTAATCTGTTCTGACTTTCTTGGGTTGCAAATATATGGTAAAGGGGCCCCAGAATATTCTGTAGGATAGGATTCTGGGGTGGATTCTAGAAGGACTCCTCGAGAATCCACTGCTATTGCGTGTCATGTTTTGAGAGAAGATGTAAGCTTTTATCAGGAATGTTCTCTCCAAAACTAATTGCTGTAGTGCAGGGGTCAGCATGTTTTTCTGTAAAGGGCCAGATAGTAAATATGAATATTTTCAGTTTTGCAGGCCACACCATCTCTGTTGCAACTGCTCGATGCTGCCATTGTAGCACTAATGTGACCATAGACAGTAGATAATTAGTTGGCCAGACCTGACCCCAGGATGCGGCTTGCTGGGCCCCACTCCAGGCCTGGCTGCCCACAGTGTGAGTTTGCTGTTGCAACTTTGGAGGCCACAGAAGGTTGTCTGGTCTGGGAGGAATCTAAGGCTGTATCCAATGTGGTAGCCACTGGCCACATGTCGCTATTTTCAGTTTAAATTAATTTAAAGTAAATAAAATTTAAAATTCAGTTCCCTTGGTCACATTAGTCACACTTCAAGTACTTACTACCCACATGTGGCTAATGGCTGCCCTGTTAGACAACACAGAGAACATTCCACGTCTATGGAAAGTTCTCTTGAACAGCACTGATTTAGAATGTCCCATAGTCTGCATCCCTCTCTGCTGTCATCCCTGGGCAGAGAGTTCTGGCACAGTGGCCTCTCTCTGAAGGTGGGGGAGGAAGGCTGAGGAAAAAGGCCCTCCTCTCAGTGTCAGGCAGGTCCCAGTATGACTGCTCATTAGTTTAATTTGCCTTTTCCATCTGCCATCAGCCCCGAAGGACGACAACTGGACATAAAGAAGTCAAGCTACAAAAAGGTAAGCAAGGATCTTCTTTGCAGACCCATGCAGAGAGTTGTGTAGGGGCACATATGACATAAGCCAGATGGATGCTGGGGAAGCCTTGTCTACCAGGCTCAGTCTAGAATTAAGCTTTTTGACTCCAAGTATAAGGGGGAAGAAAGAAACTCTCCCTGGGCTGAAGCAGTTGGTGGCACCCACTTTCCTTTCTCCTTTGACCCCTTTATATCTGATTAGAGTTCTGAACGGCCTCACTGGTTAGTCTCTAGCAGCTTCTTGCTCCCTGGCCCTCAGGTTGGGGGCCTCCCAGTTCCTGGTTGATGAAGGCAGGGGCTGTCTCATATCCCTGCACAGTCCCTGCCTAGCTCACTCTGGCACATCCTGGGTGCTCAGTATGTGTGTGGAATCAATGAAGTCCCCTACCACTGGCCCTCTCTCCCTTAGCTCTCTAAGTTCCTGCAGCAAATGCAGCAGGAGCAGATTATACAGGTGAAGGAGCTGAGCAAAGGGGTGGAGAGCATTGTGGCTGTGGACTGGAAACACCCGAGGTGAGTGCAGGGGGCCTGTCACTGTAGCCCAGCTGGCCCCAGGGCACCTGGGCCACGGACTGGGGATTGCTGAGATGCTAGTATAAAATGTGTTTTTTCTTTCCTTCTGCTGGGTTTTAGGATTACATCTTTCGTCATACCCGAGCCCTCCCCGACCTCCCAGACTATCCAGGAGGGTAGCAGGGAACAGCCCTATCACCCTCCAGATATAAAACCCCTCTACTGTGTCCCAGCCAGCATGACCCTGCTCTTCCAGGAGTCTGGCCACAAGTGAGTTTTTGGAGAGCAGCCCTTCTCTGCCTGCTTGGTGTTCTGGCCTACAGTTCCTCTCAACCTGAGTAGTGCTCTTTTGCGACTGGCAAAACCTGCTCTGCCCCTGTTCTCCCCTTCTCCAAAATCCAGCTTCCAGCCTTCTTCCCTGGGCAAGTTCCTCTGGACTAAATGAACGAGTAGGTCTCACCCTTTTCTGCGTGTAATTATTCTTCACATGGTCATGCTCACTTCAGTCAGGAAAAGGGAAGAAACTAGAGGCCGAAAGCTAAGGAAAGTTCCCTGCTCAGCAGGGAGTGAGTCTGGGCATCTGCATTTTTGTCTCATGGCACAGCATGAACTAACCCCTGGGTCACTTCTCCTCACCTAGGAAGGGGAGCTTTCTGGAGGGCAGTGAGGTCCGAACGATCGTCATTAACTACGCCAAGAAAAATGACCTGGTTGATGCAGACAACAAAAAGTGAGTGCATGAGAAGCACCAGATCTGTCTTATTGGGTCTTTGTCTTTATCAGACATAGACACATTTGGGGAGGATGTCTGGGAGGGAGAATAGAAAACCATAGCATCTTAGAGGTAATTAAGATCAGTGGTTTCCAAACCATGGGCTGTGGACACTCAGTTATTGTCTGGGGTGTTCAGATCCATGTATACGATCAACATTGACTACCGACTAAGTAAATATTCTCTCACAAATACCCATGAATCATCTTTAATTGGCTATTGTGAGGAATAAAATGCAAGCTTACAAAGAATTTACTGAAGTCATCATAGCTTTAGGTATTTATTTTTATTGATAGATATTTGTACATATTTATGGGGTGCATGGTATTTTGTTACATGCACAGAGTGTATAACGATCAAGGCAGGGTATTTGGGGTATCATCACCTTGAGTATTTACCATTTCTATGTGTCGGGAACACTGTAAGTCCTCTTTTCTAGCTATTTTGACATACACAATACATTGTTGTTAACTACAGTCACCTTACTCTGCTCTCAAAGACTAAACTTATTTCTTCTATCTAACTGTATATTTGTACCCATTATGGTATTATTTTCTTAAAAGGAGATACAGATGGTAAACTACCAGATGAAGAGAGTTCCATTAATTGTTTTTTACTTTAATGGCCGGACACTGTGGCTTATGTCTGTAATCCCAACATTTTTGTAGGTTGAGGTGGGAGGATTGCTTGAGGCCAGGGGTTTGAGACCCACCTGAGCAGCATGATGAAACCCTGTCGCTACAAAAAATACAAAAATTAGCCGGGCATGGTAGGGCATGCCTGTAGTCTCAGCCACTTGGGAGGTTGAGGTGGGAGGATCGCTTGAGCCCAAGAGGTTGAGGCTGCAGTGAGCAATGATGATGCCACTGCACTGCAACCTGGGTGATACAGTGAAACCCCATCTCAAAAAAAAATTTTTTTTTCACTTTAAAAAAACATCATCATGATAAAAAAGTTGAGACATACCAGCCTAATCTAATACCTTCATTTTATTTTATGTTTTATTTTTATTTTTGAGACAGAGTTTTGCTCTTGTTGCCCAGGCTGGAGTGCAATGGTACAATCTGTGCTCACTGCAACCTCTGCCTCCCAGGTTCAAGCGATTCTCCTGCCTCAGCCTCCCAAGTAGCTGGAATTACAGGGATGCGCCACCATGCCCGGCTAATTTTTGTATTTTTAGTAGAGACGGGGTTTCACCATGTTGGCCAGGCTAGTCTTGAACTCCTGACCTCAAGTGATCCACCCATCTCGGCGTCCCAAAGTGCTGGGATTACAGGCGTGGGCCACTGCGCCCGGCCCTATTTTTAGTAGAGATGGGGTTTTACCATGTTGGCCAGGCTGGTCTTGAACTTTTGACCTCAGGTGATCCTCCCGCCTCAGCCTCCCAAAGTGCTGGGATTACAGGCGTGAGCCACTGCACCTGGCCAACACCTTCATTTTAAAGATCCCCACTTCCTTTCTTTCTTCCTCACTAGCCAATTTTGATGCTAAGCTTAGAAAGCTGTGGTCACATGCTTAGTTAGTAGCAAAGGCTCCTGATCTTCAAATTTATCCCATCTCACTTTCCCTTCCACCTCCTGCTTTTCCTAGGAAAGCATTCGTGTATCTCCCACCCATAAGGTACATTGCCTTTTGGACTGTGGGCCCATAATTGATTCATATCCTGAATGTCTATAAAGGCCGTACGAGAGATGAATCCTGAATTAGCCTTCAGGTCAGAAGGGACAAGTCTAGGATTTCTTCATTGCCTCTTCTTTCCCTTTAGTCTTGTGAGATTGGATCCCATCCTATGTGACTGCATCTTAGAGAAAAATGAACAGCATACAGTCATGAAGCTTCCATGGGACAGTCTTCTGACCAGGTAACGAGCATTGGCAGTCCCTCTCCAACTTTTCTATCCCCTCGCCTTAATGTTGATCACATTGAACTTTAATACTGTCACTATCTTAGCCTTTGATTTTCTTTCTGTAATTCATACCAAGTCAGTCTACATAAACACAGGCTTGAGGAACTCTGATTTGGGGGGTCTTTGGAACAATTTGAGCCAATATGACATGGGAGAGCTTGAAAGGAAGAACAAAAAGGAACATTAATTAAAAATAAGAACTTCAGGCAGGCATAGTGGTGCATGCCTGTAGTCCCAGCACTTTGGGAGGCGGAGGCGGTAGGATTGCTTGGGCCCAGGAGGTGGAGGCTGCATTGAGCCATTTTCATGTCACTGCACCCCAGCCTGGGTGACAAGGTGAGACCCTGTCTCAAAAAAAGAACTTACTCTGTTAAAGTGAGGGCATTTAAAAAAATAAGAAAAAATAAAATAAAACTTCAATAAGATGCAGAAGCAAAAGAAGGCTGGGGAAAAGTGTCTTAAAGTCTTTAAAGGAAAAATTTTTAATATTCCTTCTTTTCCACATAACTGAAAATAGTTTATTGTCAGGAGTCAGCAAACTACAGCCCATGGGTCAAATCTGGCCTGCCACCTGTTTTTGTAAATAAAGTTTTGTTGGAACACAACCATATCCATTTATGTGTTGTCTGTGCGCTGGTTTTATGCTATAATGGCAGAACTGAGTAGTTGTAAGAGACCAGGTGACTGGCAAAACCAAAAATATTTACTGTCTAGCCCTTTATAGAAAAAGTTGTTGATCCTGATATATGTGATAGCAAGAGAAAACTTGGTTAGATAAAAGGTAGAAACTCCTCGTGGTAAAAGTTCTCTATAAAACATGTCAGAAATGTGAAGCAGCACTCGCAGGCAATGGGCCACTTAAGGCACATTCTTGAGACAGGTAGTAGCCTCCACAGGGCAGACTGGGCAGATTCTCAAAAGGCCAGGTCAGTGGACCGTTTCCAGGGGCCTAAGTCACTGATGTTCCCATCTTTGAATCAGTGGGTGTCTACCTTGGCCGCATTTTAGGGAGCTTTAAAAAATACATAGCCCTAGTCAGAGATACAGATTTCATTGATCTGGGCTGTAGCTCCCTAGGGATTTGAATGATTCTAATGTGCAGCCAAGGTTGTGGACCTGCAATTTCAGCCTACACCTAACTGCCTGCTGGTAGTGGGGTATGAGGAAATGGTTTCTGTTGGCTTTATCAGTTTGCAACTCATAACTTCTGTTTCAGGTGTTTGGAAAAATTACAGCCTGCCTATCAAGTGACCCTTCCCGGACAAGAGCCCATTGTGAAGAAAGGGAGAATCTGTCCAATTGACATCACCCTAGCACAAAGAGCGTCTAATAAAAAGGTAATTTTAGAAAGACACAATGTTCAAGGATAGTGATTTAATGTTCTTGCCAAGTTCTGGTCTCCCTAATGTGATTGGAGGTTTTTAGATTGGCCTCAAACTCATCAAAGATTTTTTTATGAAACACCCGTGTTTATGTGCCTGGGCTGGGCTCTGTATGAAACAGGTAAAGCTGACCCCGCTCACTCACTGCCCTCTAGGATTTTGTTCTAGGAAACTTGCTAGAGCCTGGTTCCAAAAGTAAACAAGATTGTATTTTCATTTTTTTCTTAGAACTATGTTATGGACATTCAGCTCCCACATATTCTTTCACCTCTTAGGCCTTGCTCAATGAAAATAACTTGTAAAAAACTTGCTGAAGGAACTGAGTGTGTTTAGCTTGGCAACACAAAATTGTGGGGAACCAATGACATCTCTCCTCAAATATGTGCAAAGCTGTCCCCTGGCAAAGTAGGGCACTTATTCTATATGCCTTGAAAGGACAGAAATAGGATTATTGGGTGGAAATGCCAAGAAGGCAGACTTGAGTCTGTCTTTGTAAAGACTCAAGAACTTTGTAGTAGTGTACAGTTACGAGCGTGGGCTTTGGATAGTACTGGGTTCAAATGCAGCCGTTGCCTCACTGCCTGACCTTGAGCATGTTACTTCATTTCTTTTTGTCTGAGTTTTACTCTGTGAAAAATGGGGATAATACCTACCTGGTAAGGCATTGTGAGGATCAAATGAAGGCGTATACATGGCTGAAGCACTTAGAATGTACTTGGCATATAAATACTTGGTTCTCAATAATTGAGAACCAGTAATGATAATCTTTACAATAATTAGTAACAGTCACTATTTATTGAGTGTTTAATTATGTGCCAGACACTGAACTAAATAATTTTCATATATATAGTTTATGTAAACACTAATTTTCTGTTAATAATGACAAATAGAATTGTCCAAAATTGAAATTGGTGCTTCATAAAATAGTGAATTTTTTTCTGGAGAGTCTGCAAGCAAAAATTAGGTGAGCACTTGTCAGGGGAGGATGTAGTTGGGGGTTCATGCATCAGGTGGGCAATTGGAAGAGATACGTCCTCTAAAGTCTTATTGATTCTAAGATTTTCTGGGTCTGGAGCTCATTGATAAGCGTAAGGCTAGTTGGAGCTTTTATAGTCTTTATTGATAGCAGTCATCCCCCACACACCCCTGATAGTAATACACTTTACTATCTGTAGTCATGAATGAGAAAGAATTTGTTTTAAAGCAACAAGGGGGAGAATTGTGATATTTTAAAAGCACTAACATTTTTCTTTTTTATCTCAAAGTCACATACTTGTCATTTGTGAAGCTGAATACCAGAAGAATGCATGTGTTGCTGACTAGATTGTTGATATTAAGGAGCTATTGTTTGTTACTTTATTTTTAGGTGTGATGATGGTTTTGTTTTTATGTTTAAATGAGCCTTGTCTTTTGGAGATACATACTGAAATATTTATAGATGAAATGATCTGATGTCTGGGGAGGTTTGCTTTAAAGTAATAGAGGAGTGGGGAGTAGACAGGGGTATAGATGAATCAAGGTTGGCCATGAGTTGGTAATTGTTGAAACTGGTGATAGGTACATGTGGGTTTATATACTATTCTGCTTTCATTTATGTTTTGAATTCTCCAAATAAAACTTAAAAAAGAAGTAGACATTCTGTGTGATACAGAGAGTATCTGTCCCTCTAAATATGTAATACATATATTGGATGGGGTAGACAGAATCAATTTAGAAGCACAAAAATAAGTGATTTGGATTTAAAAAGTACTAGGGTTATAGGAATGGTGAACCATCAGAGAACACAGGGGCTCAGAAGGCTGCTGAGGCTCTGGAAGGCCCTCTGGAGGGAAGGGAATGCAGTCACCACCGTCAGTCTCTGTCCCCACTGTCCCCCCAGGTGACCGTGGTCCGGAACTTGGAGGCCTATGGTCTGGACCCATACTCAGTGGCTGCCATCCTTCAGCAGCGATGCCAGGCTAGCACCACCGTCAATCCTGCCCCTGGGGCCAAGGACAGCCTTCAGGTGCAGATCCAGGGAAACCAGGTCCACCACCTCGGCTGGCTATTGCTTGGTGAGCATCCCCTCTGAAGAGTGGAGGCATTGGTCTAGCTCAGCAAAGACCTTCCTGCCAACTCAACTTGCATAATACACACACACACACACACACACACACACACACACTCTCTCTCTCTCTCTCTCTCGCTCTCTCTCTCTCTCTCTCTCCATTTAGTTTTTAGTAGCTATTTAGAGAAGAGGGAACCAGTGTTTGAATCAGATCCTTTGGCTCCTTCCAAATTCAGTGTTTTCTCTTCCACTATTAGAGTAGTTTTCTTCCTGGTTGGTCCCTTTCTATAAAACATATGGCGAGCACCCAAACTTTTGTGCTAGGCCCATTGTTGGGGTTTTTGCAGGCATCTCTCTTAATCATAATGATGCTGCAGAGCTGTTATCTGTTTTGCAGATGAGGAAACTGAGGCCCAGAGAGGTTCCGTACCTTGCCCTGAGATCCTCTGACTCTTGAGTGATATAGCTGGGCACGAAACTTTTTTAGACTCCAGAGTCTAAGTTTTTTTTTTTTTGAAACAGAATCTCGCTCTGTCACCCAGGCTGGAGTGCAGTGGCGCAATCTTGGCTCACTGCACTCACTGCAGCCTCCACCTTCCAGGTTCCAGTCATTCCCCTGCCTCAGCCTCCCGAGTAGCTGGGATTATAGGCGCATGCCACCACGGCCAGCTAATTTTTGTATTTTTAGTAGATATGGGGTTTCACTATGTTGACCAAGCCAGTCTTGAACTCCTGACCTCAGATGATCCGCCTGCCTCGGCCTCCCAAAGTGCTAGGATTACAGGCTTGAGCCACCATGCCTGGCCTAAAGCCTAAGTTCTTTCTACTAACTCTGGGTAACCCAGCCTCCCGTTTTTCCTCACTTCAAACCAGCCTTCACATCTCTGCCTGAGTCAGCTTTCTTAAACAAATATGATCACATCACTCCCTTCTAAAAAACTTTGTATGCCTCTTCAATGCCTTCAGAATTAACTCCTAAGCTCAATAAACAAGACCCTCCCAGCCTGACCCCAGCCTTCCCTGCCAGGCTCTCTCTGGCAGCTCCTACACCCATGTTGCAGGCACCAGCTGTCCTGGTCTCCTTGCAGTTCTCCAGATTCTCCTTGCATGTTCACCCACATGTGCTTCCGCCTGGGCTATCCCCTTGCCTAAGATGCCCTCCCACGCCCAAGCCCACCTGACCTCAGAGGCTCACTGGCCCAGCCCAGGGGTCCTGGGAGGCCTGAGCCTAAATTAGCATTTTAAACATTGCTAATGTAGCACTTTCCAATTGTGTTTATATTTCCGGTTAATGTCTGCAGCTTGGCTAATTTTTTCTAATGTCTGAACCTCCTGCCAGACTGAGCTGCATGAGCCAGAAACCTTGCCTTTTTCATCCTCAGGGCCTGGCGGATAGTAAGTGCTCATTTAGGCAAATGTATTCCATGGCCTATGGCAGTACCTGACAGTTAACTTCTAGAGTTGAGCCTCTTTATGTGAAGAACCCCATACAAGGTACTGAGAAGAAATGTTATGAGCAAGAGCGAGGAGCACAGACTGAACAGACACATTCTCTCTCGTGAAAAAATTATAAATGCCTGAAATACACCCAGAAAGTAGCTCTCAGTGTGAAAATTTCAGAAATATACACATCAGCTGTGAGGTGTAGGCGTAAGTGGTCAGTCCCGAAGTTGAGTTTGAGCTGGGTGGAATGACATTGTGAGGCAACGGGGACTGGTGGAGGGCCAGCCGGGGAGCAAGGTCATGCTCCGCTGAGGAGTGTGTGCTTTTTGGATTGTAGAAGAGTATCAGCTCCCTCGAAAACACATCCAAGGTCTAGAAAAGGCCCTCAAACCTGGCAAGAAGAAGTGACAGACTCTTTTGTCTCACGTGGTGGATCCGGTGGAAATCCAAGCTCTGGGCTGGTAATTTTTATGAGCATTTTCAGCTTTTGCAAATACAAAATATAATTCTTTACAAAAATAAATTTTTATTCTAATCTAAATCTGACTTCCCTCTTGTTTCCTCCACTTAGCTAAAATGTACTAATTTTTGAAGTCGGGAGTATTCTAAATGGACAGAAGAGGTCACGGTGGCTGCCATTCTGTCCATGTGGTTTCAATGATTTCATTCCTTCCCTGCTTTCCAGGCAGGCCAGCCCATTCAGAGTTCGGACAGGTGGGGCCTTCCTCTTTTTAAAGACCTTCTACCAAATATCCTACTGCCTAATTAACTTCCTAGCCCCAAAATAGTTCCTTCACATCTCTAAAGGGTTAGTCACGTAGAAAACAGATCCCAGCTGTTCTCTGTCATCAATCAAAGCAACAGAAGAAAGAATTGACCCTAAATTGCAGTAGAATTTAGGCTAGATAGAAATCAGAAACAGTATACAGGCATATTAGGACGTGGGTTTCTATAGGACAGTGATTCTTCCCCAACTTTAGGACACTGCCACTAACTGGTAAATTTGTGATGTAACTCCAAGATGACAGCTTTGTTACAGTGAAGAGTCTCATCCAACACATGCCCTCTTCAGCCCCAACTTCTTAACGTGGAGGTCATGGAAGGGGTCTTTAATAGGTCTTTAGAGGATCCATGAACTCCCTGAAATGGTGCACAGATTTTGTACGATCATTTTCCTGAGAGATGGACCATGCTTTCATCAAATTCCCAAAGGGATCACTTGATGCCAGAAAAGTGCAGAACCACTGCGCTGGTCCCTGCTCAGTTTATGGAATCATTTCACTGACTGGATCTCTCCTTGTATAATAGGAGGGAGAACTGGGCTAAATTCCCTGAGTTTTTGGGTTTTACCATTAAGAGACAGTTGCACTTCAGTTTACTTGTTTCTTTCTCTTCTCAGTTTTTCTCAAACTGAGATAAGAAAGGCTTAAAAATATCCACAATATCCACAAATTGCCCGTTTGAGGCTTGAAAAGGAAAAAAGGAATGGGTTTGAAAATGTGTGTGTGGCGCCTCCTACCGTCTGTTATCAGGCCCAGAATAGACCTTTTTACTCATGAGTAAACTCCTTAATTTCACTAATCCTATCTCTACCGGCATGAGCATATGAAACTAGGAAAGGGATTTCCAGAAATTGAGCCTAAACAGGATCCTGTTAAAGCCTTTGGCCTGCCAGAGTCTGATCTGAGGGATTATGATCTGTATAGTAGTAATGAACTATGGTTCCTTATGTGAATACAAGTAAAATATAGCACTGTGCAAAGTTCTTTCACAAACTTGATTTGTTTTGCACGATCTTGAAGGGAGTGGAGGCTAAGAAAGGTCATGTCCCGCCTTGTTGATCTCTGCTGAAGACACAAAGCCAGTAAGTGGTAGGGCTGGGTCTAAAATGAACATCTACCCTTAATTGTGGTTTGACCCACAATTCTGCCATGACACAGTGCTGTCCAGACCTGTGCATTGAGTGGTTTTTCCAGTAACGGTGACACATTTGCATTGAGTCATCTTCCCTCTCCCCCTGTGAACAGCATAGGGACATATTCAAAGGCAGAGTAGAGCCAGACTGTGTAACAGGTTCTTTTTCCTATGTGCTAAGTCAAATAATCTGTATCAATGTCAAACGTACAACTTTGAATTTATTAACCCTATGCTGTAACCATATGAGATTCAATGAAAAGCAGAAAGTGCTTCATTTTTGGACTTTGGCAAAATCATTGAAAGATACATTTCTTGGGGGTTTAGATGAACAAAAATGTTACAGATGTGCCCCATTCTTGGGCAGTTTTAAGGATGCTTGTTGGACATTCATTCATTCTTTGGGCCCCATGTATTGCATTCTATGTGATCAATACTGGAAGGCAGCAAGAATTTCTTTTTAATAATTTAATGTGGTTATTTCCATGATTACTGAGATGTTCCTTTGATGAAAGTCAGAGAACTCAAGTGAAAGGACTGTTTGTTTTGGTCATTTGATCTAGCCCCCTTCCTCCAGGTGAAGTGATCTTAAACTTTTAAAGATCTATTCCTTTCTACCTTATTTTTAAATAATTCCAGAAGTAGAAGAATCATGGCTCAGCTCAGTAGCCTGTCCTGGTGTCAAATCACCCTTAGCTCCAGAAGGCCCTTCTCTTTCCCACACATCAGCATCTCTGCCTGCAATCAGTCTCCTTGACTCTCTTGCACTGCGGAGACATGGAACAGCTGGTCACCCAGGCAGCGCCCTCCCGCCTACGCATTTGGACAATTTTTCCCAAATTATTTGAACAGTAGCCTTCATTTCTCTGCTCACTGGCAAAAGAAAATCTGACTCCACCAGGAAGCATGTGATCATGTCCATTCTCACCCTCTCTCCCCCGCTCCCAGTGTCCGTAAGATGGTGAAGTTCAAGGGAGACGTTTCTAACATGAGTCATTTTTGCAACAGGCTTTTATTACTTTTTTTTAAAACCCATATAAGAAAGACATTTAAAAAGAAAATATCCTGGAAACAAACACTTACACACTGAGCAACACAACCAAAGAAGGCACTACCAGCAGTTACTCCCACCTCTGGGAGGGAACGGGTACTCGATACTATACTTTTTTCAGAGGTTTAGACCTCAGCATAGGCCTTGGGTCTAACTGTGCTTTAGTAAAGTCTGAATTGTCCAATAATTTTCTCATTTCATAAACACCCTTATCTCTTTATATATAGCTATATGCCTTTATGTGTATATATACATGACTTTTTTTTTCCTTCTCAAAAATAAAATAGCCATCCCCATAGAGGGAGGTTCTCAGCAGCATTCACAGCGGTTGCAGCAGGAGCCATGCCTTCTATTAATGTTAGAGACATGCAGGACGAAGGAAAATGACTCTCCACCTGCTCCCTTTAATATACAGCAGGGAGAGAGTTTCTAAAGGGAGGGAAGTGATAAGGCTGAGCATGAGATGGCTAACCAGGGTTTTTGTGGTTTAAAAAAATCTTAGAGTTGCGAGCTTGTGTTGCCTTTGAAGCTCTGGAGACTATGCACAGTTCATACGACGAGGGGTCAGCATTCCTTCTGGGATCAGGGGCAGTATGGACTCAGCCTGGGTCAGAGAGGGAACTTCTGAAGCTACACGAACAAGCTTGGGCTTGAACCGACCCAAGAGGGACTTGGGAAGGCAGAGGATAGCAAAGAAATGGTTTCTCAGAGGCTGGGTTGGAAAACCAGCCCTGCTTTGAAAATTACAAGTCCTTCTCCCTCTGCACTGGAGTGTCTCTGCAGTCCTGGCTACTTGTTGGAATTTTTTGACTAATTTATTTTAGGATTCAGCCTAAACAAGAAGCCAGTGCAAATGTAAGTCAGGAATTTGATCCTCCCTGTCAATGTGGTCTGGTATCACTGATTGGAGTCAAAACTCAGGCACCCAGATGGGAGGGAGGTCTGTGACCCTCAACCCATACTGAACGCGGGCTCTCCTGGCCTTGTCTCCCACACCGCCGCCATTGTTCACTTCCTGGCAGGAGAAGCCAGCAGCAGAGCTTCAGGCAAACTCGCCCTACTCCTATTTCTCTCTGAAAACAAAAAGGCACTGAGGTCGACGGGGAGGCCAGGCCCACCGGCTCTCCGAGCGCAGTGCCGGGTCTGGCCCATGCTTCAAAACAGAAAGGACTCCAAGTTGGCCGAATTGGAGGCTCCCCTCTCTGTAATCAAGGCAACTCCTTGGGCAGCACCTGGAGATCCCAGAGTCGCAGTGGGAGGAGGGAGGCAGTGCTGGAGGCCGATGGGGAACCCAAGTAGCCCAGGCCCTCCTCTGCTCTTTAGCTGGGGAAGGCTGAAGACAGCTTGGACACCTTTCTCTGCATTGCTTTTTGGCTTTCTCTTACTGTCTGATTTCCATACTTAGCAGGAGACTTTTTAAATGGTCAATGACTGGCTTCCCTTTGGGGAAACACATGACGATGATGACAACATTAAATTCAAATTTGTAACTTAAAAACGAACAGTTTGTTGACAAAGATGTGACTAAGTACCACACATACGCAGATATATGCCTTTGGGTTTCCATGTGCAATGTGGGCCAGGGCCAGAGCCAGGGCCAGGGCAGGCTGCAGCTTCTCTGGAGATCTCTGAGCCAGCCTCAGCTTTGGTGCTCCTTACCCTGAGCATCTGGGGCCAGTAGCTTTATAAACTTCCCTTAAGTGTGAACAACAGGCACCTTGGGGCCGCGGGAACAGTCCTTTTATGAGCATTACCCTGCTTTCAGGGGCTTAGCTCAGACCTGCAAAAGGAATGTGCTACAACTTTTCACTCATAAATAATGGTCCTGTACGTGGCAAGTAAGAGAACTCAAAGAGGAATCAATGCCAGAGAAAGAACACACAGCTCTAAAACCTTTCTTCCTTCCTTTGCCGGCTGGTGTGAGGTTCCAGTTTGGTGACGAGAGAGGCAACTATTTGGTTGGTGAAAGGCTTGCAGATCGAGAGAGGACGTCAGCTGTTTGTTTCACATGAGTTCTGATCCTTGGCAGAATCTGTGGTGGGGCACAGCCTGGGGGCGGGCACAGCTGAACCCTCGTGCAAACACTTGTCCATGGAAGAGACTTTTGCCACAGCTGGAACTGCTGGGCAGGCACAAATGCACCTGCCAGAGATGTCCTGAGAAAAAGTGTCTGTTGCAAAATAATAATTAATAATACAAATAAATCTGAATGCACCAGGAGGAGAGGAAGCAGGACCGGTTACCCAGGTTTGCCCTGGGATTCTCTTAAGGCCTCCTCCAGTTTCTGCCTAAACTTGTCATACTTCTTTTGCACTTGTTGGATTTTGTCCTGCTCCTCTTTTTCCAGGATTGTTAGGAAGTTCTGAAGTTCAGGGATGGAGAAGGCATCCCACTGTGAGGCGAGAGGGAGATTTGTGGGAAGAAACAGAATAGGAGACAGGTTAGAAGTTGACACGACCTGAGAGACCCTGCTGCCTTCCCCTTCCCAGTTCACATCCGTGATTCACACACAGTTTGCTACTGAACAGACTGAATCAGCGAAGCCTGGGCTTTGCATGCCTGTCATAGCAGCAACAAAATTCCAAATGCTGGCATCTCATGACCAAGAGTTGCCAGTCTATGAACCATGTTTTTATTTTGAAACTCAATAATCTTAAGTTTCTGTGTAGCAGCCGAGATCTTGACAGTGATGCTGGAACCACCCAGCCTCCCAACATGCAGACCCTCAGAAAGCAGGTGGAGGAGTGGAACGTGGACTCAGGAGACCGGGGTTGGGCCTGACTCCACCTCTCCCAGCAGTGTGACCTCGAGCACAGCTTTCCACCCTTCTCAGCCTGTTATCTGCTGGGAAATTGGGGTATCTACCTCCCATGACTGGCAGAGCAGATAATGAGAGCCTGACTGGCCCAGGCCTACCCCTAAAGGACTTGGCCTCTGATGGCAGAAGGCAATTTGGACTTCCATCAGGCTGACCCAAGAGCACAAGCCCTGTGCGGCCAACAATTGAGACTCCTAAGCTCTTTGAGCACAATAGAGTACTAAGGTTTATCTGGTTTGGTCCTCGCTATGGATAAGTGAGAAACCTCAAGTCCACACAGGGAAGGTGGCGTAATCACAATCACAGAGCTCATTGCAGCAGAACTGGAACTAGAGCCCAGGTCTCCACACTTCAAAGTGCCTGAGCTTTCCACAGGGCCAGCAGCATTCAGCTACTGTCCATGGAGTACTTTTTCCAAACATATTCTGCACAGATGCCAATAAAGAAAGCAGATGGGAGCAGAGCGGCCCTTGCTGAAATGGGGAGAAGGGACAGAGTCCCAGCTGCCTTGATCCCTAAATCTCCGCAGTGACTCCCAAAACTCCTTAAAACTCTAGGCCTCCACTGAACACAGTGTGACAAACACTGAGACCTTCCCCTGTTGGTCATTCTCAGGCCATGGGTGGCACCGGCCTGGTTTTACTCCAGTTTATGCCACAAGACTACACACTGGTTAGCTCCCCTTGGGGGATGGAGGTCAAGAAAAGGGAGGACAAATGGCTCAAAAACGTCTATACCCAGTGGAGCCCAGAGATGGAGCTTGGTAGCCCTCGGGCCATTTTGAAGCAAAAACAGCCTGTGCCTGAGCACAGGGAGTTTCTTGGTCCCCCTCCTCCCTGAGTTTTCAGAAATAAAGCACATGAAATCCTTTCTTTCCACAGGCCTTGCCACACACAGGCCCTAATGTGCTACCCCAGGGTGTTCAGAGTCCTGGCTGAAACACTGACCCCCAGGCCCATCACCCACCCCTGCTCACTCTCTCAACAGTCACCTTCCTGCCCGTGCTGCGTGGCTCCCACCTATGTGAGGTAGTTAGGACAACACCCACCTGCACCCACCCAGGGTGCCCTAAGGCCTGGGTTTGCACAATGGGTCCAGACCTACCTCTACCTCTCCAGTTTCATTCTCCTTTAGCACAAAGCTGAGGACCTCCGTGTCAGGCCCAGCAAGCAGGCGCAGGTAGAGGGGGCGGTCAGCAATGGAGAGTTTCTGGAAGAGCACTGCAAACCAAGAGAGGGTGCTGGGAGCTCTTCCCAGAAAAGAAGGGCGGGGCCCAGGCTTGCGGGAAAGGATTGGAAATGCAGAGGTGGGGTACGTACAACTGGAAGTAGACACGGGCCTTTTAATGAAATGAACATGACAGTAATGAACAGGGCAATAACCTTTTATCTTGGGTGTCTGCTCAGAGTTTAAAGCATGATTCCATTCACATCATCTCCTGAAAGATTAGGAATGGTGGGGCAGATTCCTCCCATTGCACAGATCAGGAAATGGGAGCCTAGGGTGTGGTTTTCCTGAAGTCACATGCAGAGTCAGGGACTCTGCTCTTGCCTCCCTGCCCGGATTCCACAGATCTGAACACCACATGGGCAGCTGGACCCCTGGTGCTCAGGAGAAGCCCACAGCTCCCACCCAAGGCCGGCAGGAGTTTTAGTGGGTGGGCTTGGACACAGGTAGGAAGGGAACGGTCTGGTTGGGTTCACTCTTTCTCCTACCTTGTCCGTCCTTGTGTATCCGCTTAAAAAGTGCAAACTTCTGGGGATTGTCCACAACCATGAACTTCTTGAGCAGCCCCTGGATGACCTCACTGACGGTGGTGGTGCTGCTGATGTGCAGCTGCTTGATGGCATCTAGGGGCAGGTAGAAGGATGTCCGCTTGTCCGTGGTAGCCGCCAGGTTCACCTCCTTGATGGCATCATAGATGGACTGGGGCCGGATCCCAGCAGGCACCGTCACAGGCCGCCGGAGTTTCAGATGCACTTTGATGAAACCCGTGTAGGTGCCGTCTTCACTCTGCCAGCGGGGGCATGTCACAGGGGGTCAGGGCCGTCCGCCTTGCATGATCATATCTGCCACTCGGGGCCATTGCCCCAGCAGCACCCACCTGTCTCCTTGAGTTCTTTCCTGCCTCTGCTGACGTGGGAGAGCTGGAGGAAGGAGCAGAGATCCCTTTCCCCATAGTGGGCTGGGAGAAGACCCTCAGGATCCAGCTACCAAAGAGGACCTGTGGGGCTGCAGTGGATTTCCCTCCCAGGAGGCTCAGGCCAGCTCCCTAAACCTCCTGTAACCAGTTGCCTTTGGTGAGTGCCCATTGTAAGAGGCAGGGTGTGGGGTAGCCACTCTAGTTTGTACCTCTGAACCAGGCAGGAAGCAGGAAGGCTCTATAATGAGGGCCTTGGAGAACCAGCCCACTAGATTTCCTCCTGTATCTCTTTACTAAGAAACAGCCTTTAAGACTTAAACCTAGGTGCATTTGTGACTGGATTTTCTGGTGCTCCATCTGGCTGAACCCCAAAGAGCCAGCTGATGCCAGCCACCAGCAGGGGGCAGTGTTTTTCTACCTTCTCCCCTCCCTATTGAAGACAGCCTTTCCCAACTGGGTGCTAAGTTGGGTGCCCTCCCCTCTCTGAGAGAGTATGTCCCTCTCTCACAATCGAAGGGGTAGGAAGGGGAGCAACTAAGTCCCATTGTCCTGGCTCCCTGGAGGCCAAGCAATACTGGGCCCTTGGTCATTACGTACCGTTTAATCACTTAGTTTACACTGAAGCTCAGAGGAGGAGTTAAAAGAGCTTCCCAAAATCACAAGCAAAAAATGAGAGTCAGATCTATTTCCCTAAAGCACATGGAGGCCACTGAGGGCTCTGGCTATCAGCCTTCCAGACCCCGGAGGCCTCTGGAGGCCGGAGGAAAGGGAGGGGACCTGCCAGGGAGTAGCCACAGAATTCAGAGTGAGGGCAGAGGCGCCAAACCCGAAGCGGGTGGTGGAGCAGGGGCCAGGTTGAGGGTGGACGGGCGCTTACCAGTTTCATGCCCAGGCAGTTCTTCTCTCGCGTGTTGTAGCTGTCGATCTTCTGCTTGATCTCCTGCAGTGTGGGCGGGCGCTGTGTCTCCTCCACAGGTTTACAGACATTCTGGAAGAGACACAGAAGTGGAGGTGGATGTGTAGTAGTTCTCAGGGTGAGAAAGGGAACAACCACGCCCTCCCCAAAGCCTCTCTAACCAAGAAGTGAGCATCCAGCCCTGCAGAGTGGAACTAACTGCACGGACTCGGAGTGAGACAATGAGAGGTCAAATTGCAGCTGTGCCAGTGTCTAGCCAGCCCTCCTGGAGAAGTAACTCAGATTTCTCTAAGCCTCAGTCTCCTCATCTGTGAAATGGGAACAATACCTACTGCACAGGCTTGTCTTGAGATTAGTGTGAAAGCGTCTGGCACTCAGGCACTGACTATGAATCTGGTGAATGAGCAGAGCCGCATTTGCTTATGGAAAGCTGCTATGGAAAAGATGCTTCTTTGATGCTATGGGAGATGCAAAGAAATACAAGCCATGGTCTGTCTCCTCAAGGAAGTAACAACACAGCTGGAGGGACAGGCGTCTACCCATGGTGCCAGTATATACTACTGATCGGGAAGACAAGAATTCTCTTAGATCCCAAGGACCAAGGACACATAGAGACCAGTCCAGGCCCCACATCACTTGCCACAGTGCTTTTCACATAGCAAGAAGTAAATATCTATTTGTCAAATGAACGAGTGAACTGGCAGGGATGAAGGGCTGTAGCCCCCTCTACCATAAAAGAGGAGATAAACCGCTACTGGGCACAGGGACACCTAGAATTTACTTAGCACTTCTTCTGTGCCAAGTACTTGGCATACATTATCTCATATGATTCTCACAAACCAGAAGTCTGTAAGATAGTTTATTACCCCATCTTACAGGTGAGACTATTGAGACTAAGAGAAGTTTAGCAACCTGCCTCACACCCTACAGTCAGTATGTACAGAATGAAACAGAAATTCCAGGTCTGTCCCATTGTGTTCCTCCTGTGAGACCATGTGTTCATTCTTCTCATATGTTCCCAGATGCCCTCCTCCTCCCACCCCCTGGGAAGGATAAGTGAACAATGAAATTGAGGAGATTGAGGTCAATGGCCCTCACCTTGTAGAGACAATACAGGGGTGAATTCTGGGGTCGAAGCCACTGTCCCTCAGTCAGTTCTCTGGCTCTCTCTCAAGTTCACTGTTACCCACCTCCCGGTTTTATCTTCACACTGTCCCTGAGTGGCTGGGAGTGTGGGAACTGGTTGGTCAGAACCCACCCAGAATTTGCCTGACGTTCAAGTGTAGCAGACTTGGGGTGGATCAGGATTCTCCTTTGGTAAATGAGGAAACTGAGGCCCAGTGAGGGATGACTCTGACACCATCTGACACTGTCCTGTGGGTGTCTGGGTTTGGCTGGGGAATTTCACAGCTGCCGCGACGTCACATCACCACCCCGCGGAACACAACAGGGCCCCCCCTCCGTGACAGAGCTTTGCCCTACCTTCCTCCCTTCAGCAAGCCATGTGGGAGACACGCCACCCTGAACAACCTGCCATCACTTCCTTCCACTTTCCAATCCCACAGAACCGATGCAATGTCAGGCTCTGGCTGCCAAGAGGAGCTGGCGTGGCTCCAGCCTCCCACCTCCAACCCCTCAGCACAGCTGACATCCTCCTTTCTTTCTTTCCTTCCTTCCTTCCTTTTCTTTCTCTCTCTCTCTCTCCCCCCTCTCTCTCTGTCTCTCTCTCTTTCTTTCTTTCTTTTCTTTCGTCTCCCTCTGTCACCCAGGCTGGAATGCAGTGGCACGATCTTGGCTGACTGCAATCTCTGCCTCCCAGGTTCAAGCAATTCTCCTGCCTCAGCCTCCCAAGTAGCTGGGATTACAGGTGCGCACCACCACACCCAGCTAATTTTTGTATTTTTTAGTAGAGACGGGATTTCACCATATTGGCCAGGCTGATGTCGAACTCCTGACCTCAAATGATCCATCCGCCTTGGCCTCCCAAAGTGCTGGCATTACAGGTGTGAGCCACCGCACCCAGCTTCTGACATCCTCTTTCCATCATGGCATCGTTCCCTGGCCTGTCTGCTCCCGCTGTACTCTCCCCAAGGGGTCCTGACCTATTAATAACAGCCTGTGCTGGGTACTTTCACATACCTTCTCTTACATACTATGTATGTCATTCTTATTTCACAGATAACAAAACTGAGGCTGAGTTTAAGAAACATGCCTGTGGTCCCCTGCTAGTAAGAAGCTAAGTAGGAACTGGAATCAAATCCATCTAAGGCCCATGCTCTTCTCAATTCACCATGTAGCCACCATGGGACGGCATCTTTTGCTGAAGGGGCCGGCCTGCCACACCCATAATGATCACTGAAACTCTGTGCTGCGGGGCTGGGATGAGCAGCTGTTAAACCAAAGCCTGTAAGTTACCTGATCTGTGAAATGTTCATCTAAGATGAGTCTAAGCAGCGGGTCAGGCCCCAGAGGCACCATGTCACCTGTGAAGGTGGGAAGGAAGGACTTCTAACTCAAGTGAGATGCAGCCACCAGGATGCAGGGCCCAGCCTTCTCCTGTGTGCCTTCCCAGGTCTCTGGAACTGAACCTTGATTCTGTTGCAGACCACCCAAGGGCAAGCAGCTCTGGCCATCTCCCACTTGCCGGAGGTGAGTAGCAAGTAGTGTGAGCCTCACAGACTCTCTTCATTCACTGTCAGTCCATTAACCCGGGGACTCTCACAGTGAAGCCTCTCATTTTCCTCATCCCTTCCCTTGGGTAGCTCCCAGAGCTCCCCATCCTCAGTCCTTGCCAGCTGAGCACATGTCTATGGGACCAGATGTGCCTGACCCTGGCCCTACCCCTATACCTTCCCGCTGGGAGCTTCTAATTAGAAAGACCCCGTTGTCTGGTTACTATTATACACTCACTCTGTCTCTGACGCATGTAGGCTATTGCTCCTCAGGAGGTAATAGCTTTCTCATACTTGTCTATAAAAAATAAGTAATGGAAAGAAAATTCTAGAAGCTTCGGAAAGATCTCCTCTCATAGTTTCCAATCAAGCTAGAGCCATTTCCCCGTAAGAAAAGGCAGCTGTGCTGTGGCTTTCAAAGGCTTGATTTTGAATACAGTGAGAAGCAAAGCTGCCTTAGCCTAGGGTTTCTTCTTCCTGTTCCCCTTTCTTCAGCAGATAGACCCATCTATCTCTCCCCTTCCCACCACAAACGCGGGGAAGTGACGCAAGTGGCCACAGGCACCTCTGCCTTCCAGGGCTGACTCAAAAGACAGCAGCCCTGACCTCACCATTCTGAGGCCTGGCCCTCTGGCTGGTGATGGGAAGCCCTGTCTGGGAGTGCCAGGAGCCCCGTGTGTAGCCAACACTACGAATGTCACAGCCATGGAATGCCAGCACCCAGGTCTGGGATGGCTGCTGCCCACAAAAATATCTGGCAGACAAGATGTGACCCATGGACCAAATGAATCACCTCCTGAATTAGGCCAGCCAGCCACAGCCACGAGGGCTCACGGATCCTTTTTCCACCCAAGAGATGGCGTATAATCCAGACCAGTGGTTCTTAAACTTGTCTGCACAGTGCAATCATCTGGGGGATCTTTAGAAACTTAGCTGCCTGGGCTTCATCCCTGGAGATTCTGATTTAATTGGTCTGGGGTGCAGTCTGGGCATGGGAATTTTAAAAATCTCCTAGTTGATTTTAATTCGCAGCAACATTCGAAAAGAACTGAAATAGACAGACCCCTCACAACAATTCCAGACCTCAAGGGTCTTCATCCAGCTGCTGAATTAACACTTGGTGCCAAGAAACACACAAACACCCCAAAGGTTTACCTAACAGGCACTATCTGCCATGAGAGCGAGATCGATACTATAGCAATCTTCAGAGGATAAGACAAAGACTCTGATTCCTATTCACCTGCCAGATTCTTAAGGATCTGTCCACGGGTACAAAGCGAGAAACCAAGCAGACAGTTTTGCCTCTTGGGGTGGCCCAAGATAGAGACAGAATAGGGAACTCTGTTATGATTTAACAAATATAGACATTGGCATGTGAGGTGTCTCTCCTGGGGGCTCACACATCTCAGTGCATCTGGCATGGAATTCATCTATTCCGATTAAGCCCCTGGCATTGGTGGCAGATGGCTGAGCTGTTCCCAATGCACTTGGCATGTCCAGGGCACTGGTGAAAAACAGGTTTGTGCTCACATGTCCTATGCGGTGGAAAAGGGCAATGTCTTCTTTTAGCTCTGGAGGTGATTGGGGAACAGCCATGTAAAGAGGCTGGGTGCTAGGGGTTCACAGCGACACCCCGACCCTGAGTGATTCTCTAATGCTTCCATTTAAATATTCTTAACAAAATAAGGAGGACCATACCCCTTTCGTCTGGGGCCTAACTCAGGGCAGATTTGCCCTAAGCTGTTTTTCTTTATTTTATCACTAAAGCAACAGCAACAAAACCCTACTTCTGCACTCTAATCAATGACATATGTAATCTTAATTTTGGTGACTGGAGAGTGACCTAATGCCCTAAGGAGAGGCTCTGAGTGAGTCACGTGGCTTCTGGTATTCCCAGGTGGGCCCAGGGCACCCAGGAATGCTGTGGCAATGAGAGGGGGTCCCCAGGATGAGGGTGGGCTGAGGAGGACGTGTGTCCCACCGGCAGTACTGCAGCTATTATATACATCCGTGCCTACTTTTTCTTGACCAAAATCACAAACCTAATTTTTGCTAAAAAATTCACTCTCACTCTTTTTAAATTTGTCAGTCTTTCCTCCTTCTGGCCCACGATTTGAATCATCTCACACCTGTTTGCCCATCAGAAGTCACTTTATTTGTCAAGCTCTTCCTGATCACTCCAGCCCTGAATGATGACGATGATTCACTACAGCTAATATGTACCGTGCACTATTCTACTCACTTAGCATGTATTAGCTCATTTCATCATCACAGCAAATGTGTCACAAAAAATACTATTATGATGCTCATTTTACAGTCAAGGAAAGTGAGCCACAGGAAGGTTAAAGCTAACCTACATCTAAAGGCAACACTATACTATCTGGCACTTAAGTAAGCATCTACTTACACACACACACACACACACACACACACACTTTTTTTTTTTGAGATGTCTCCCTCTGTCACCCAGTCGAGAGTGCACTGGTGCAATCACAACTCACTGCAGCCTCGACCTCCTAGGCTCAAGCAATCCTCCTGCCTCAGCCTCCCATGTAGCTGGGACTACAAGCATGTGCCACACTCCTGGCTAATTTTTTTTATTTTTTTGTAGAAATGAGGTGCCTTGCTATGTTGCCCAGGCTGGTCTCAAACTCCTGGCCTCAAGCAATACTCTCACTTCAGCCTCACGAAGTGCCAGGATTACAGGTGTGACCCACCGCGCCTGGCTGCTTACATTAACCTCCAAGTAGACTCATCCATCTCAGGTCTTCTTCCCAACTAGACTAAAGCTCTTTAATGACTTACATCATACTTCAATTTGTTCTCTGTGCCTGGTGCCTCTGAGCATGAGGCAAATAGGAAATACTTGCTCAAGAACCTTCAATGATCCCCTATTGCCTACAGTGGACAAAAAAGGTCTTAATTTCTTCTAGGAATTACAGTGCAGTGAGCCTTGGATTTCCATTTAGACTGAGTTCTGTGAGAGAAGCACCCACGCCTGTCTTGTCCTCTATGGTGTCCCAGATCCCAGTGCCAGCTTGACACATAGTAGGGGTTAAGTACCTGCAGGATGAACACAAGTGTGTGTTGGGCTTCTGACTCCCATGACTAACTACATGATCTTGAGAAAGTCAGATAATCTCTAAGCCTCAGTTTCTTCATCTATACATTTGGGATAAAAATCCCTTATTGTCTCACAGGATTGATGTGAAGGTAAAAATCAAATGAGATAATGGGTACAAAAGTGTTCTGAAAATCACCAAACCCATTCAAAGGCATGTATGGTGACTATCATCCCAGGAAAGCAAAGTTCTACCCCTCTGAGCCAATTTCAGTTTTCATTTTCCTTGAGTCCTTCTTCTGATTGGCCACATGCCCATAGAGTTTGTTAATTCCTTTCTCTGCACCAGTGGTTGGCAAACTTTTTCTGTAAAGGGTCAGACAGTAAATGTTAGGTTTTGCAGGCCACGCAGTCTGTTGCCACTATTCAACTCTACTATTGTGGCACAAAAGCAGCTACTGGATGAGTGTGACTGGGTTCCAGTAAAACTATTTATGGGCCTGGCATGGTGGCTCACACCTACAATCCCAGCACTTTGAGAGGCCAAGGCAGGATGATCGCTTGAGCCCAGGAGTTCGAGACCAGTCTGGGCAACATAGTGAGACCCTGTCTCTACAAAAAAAAAAAAATACAAAAATTAGCTGGGCACAGTGAAGTGCACCTGTAGTGCCAGCTACTCAGGAGGCTGAGGTGGGAGAATGACCTGAGCCCCCAGGAGTTCAAGGCTGCAGTGAGCCGTGATTGTGCCACTGCACTCCAGCCTAGGTGACAGAGCAAGACCCTGTCTCAAAAACAAAACAAACTTTATTTATGGAACCTGGCCATGTGCAGTAGTTTGCTCTATGCTGTTGTTTGTGCAGAGTCTCCTGCCTAGAACACTATTAGCCCTAGTTCCACCTTCTCTATGTAGTTTCCCAATGCAATTTCTCCAGTCTATAGCCATCTCTCCATCCTCTGCTCTCTTAATGTACCAGATCCCTGGCATTTTGATTCCCACATGGAGAAAGGTAATCACAGTTTTGTCCTGGTCTCTCTTTCTCCTGAATCATACTTCCTATGTTTCCTGTGTATTTCCTCACACCACCAGTTAATGGGCCTTTGTAACTTCACTCTCATTTCATGGACACTTTTCACAAGAAGACAAAGGCTTGGGCACTTCCTTGGATTTTGCTCACTTTACTCCATTCTGCAATGAGGAGGCAACAAAGCTGGCTGGGGTAGGGATGGAGGTAGACAGCTAGGCTCACCCCCTGGTTCTGTGACTCGCTCCCAAACACCAGCCCCATGGCCTCAAAGCCTCAGATTCCCATTGCAGCAAAAGTACAAATTACCATCGTCACAGATCTCTGCAGCTGCTGGCTAATGTTAAATCCATACTGCAAGAGCCTATAGAGGTGATTTCAGAGCCTGTGTGGCTACAGCTGGCATCTAATTATATGCTGCCTTTTATTGTTTAATGATTGTTTCACATGTTAATCCCATCTCCCCAGTGAGATGCTCTCTGGATGGAGGCAGACATTAGTTTGGTGCCTAAGCTTTTTGGCACCCCGCTTGGCTGAAACCTGGGCCAAACTTTAAGTAGGTGTCAGATAAATACCTGTTGATTGGGTGGCAGGGGAGGGCAAGACAGCCTGGGGAGTCTCAGGCCAGAGCCCACCCCAGACCCCTAGGTCCAGGAGCACCTCACACTCAGCTGCACCCTGAGGGTCTGATACCAAGAACACACACCAGGCTTTGGACTTTGGCGTTAGCCGTGTGGCTCAGCTCTTGGCAGCTAGCTGATGAGAACAAATGCAAGACCATCAAATGACCTGTGACGTCTGGGGAGCTACTTCCCCTCTCAGGGCCTCAGTTTCCTTATCTGTGAAATCATGAAGTGATACTGGAGAAGCTCTAAGGGCCCCTTCGCAGGACTAAGATTTTACACATAAGATAGGGTGGTGTTTTTTTCTCATCATTGCTTCCTCTTCTATTTCAGAGAATTGGGTGTGGAGATGGGGGCCTCTTGGAGGCTAGCTAGCATGGCTGAATGGCAGCAGGAATAACCAATCTAAAGGAGCACAAAGAACATTTCTAACCGCCACGACTTTACTTTTTCACTGCTCACCACTTTTCTCTATTGTCAGCAAGACTCTATCTTAGCCAAGCCCAAGCCGGTCTACGCATTCTTAACACACACAACTCAAGAAAACAAAACAAAAAATACCCCGGAAGCCATTCACCATGAGCCTTTGCCACATTTCCTCTTTCTCAGCTCTTAGCAAATCTGTCAGCAGCAATTCTTTCACCCCTTGGAAGGAAGCCATCTCCAGGCTTAAGTCAGGGAGGAAAGCCTCAGGCCCCTCCTACAGGAGAATGTCCATCTGCAGCTGCCTTCCACACCCCAAACACCCGGTGCTTCTGTTGTGCTTGCCCTAGATGGGAACGTCTGCAGGCAAGGGGCAGACACCCATCTATCTGGGCTGGATTTGAAATACCCTGCTCAATGTCCAAACCGCATTCAAAGGTGAGGTTAGGAGTTCAAGACCAGCCTGGGCAACATAATGAAACCCTGTCTCTTCTAAAAAAAAAAACAAAAACAAAAACAAAAAAATTATCCGTGCGCCTGTAATCCCAACTACTCGGGAGGCTAAGGCGGAAGAATCGCTTGAACCTGGGAGGCAGAGGTTGCATTGAGCCAAGATTGCGCCACTGCACTCCAGCCTGGATGACAGAGCGAGACTCCATCTCAAAAAAAAAAAAAAAAAAAAAAAAGTCATTGGTCCCTTTGTGATGGTCTCAACCAAATGAGAAAGAGGAATCCCTATGGGGCCTTACTGCAGGGCCCCCTCCCAGGTCTTCGAAGGCCTGTGTTCTGAAATGGACTCCACAGACCCACCACAGCAGTGAAGGGGTTGATTTCCACAGGTCCCTCTATGGCACTGTCCATTGTCCCAAAATTAAAAGGGTTGGGAACTCCTTAACTGTGTTCCCTAATAGGTTATTTGCAGCAGAGCAGGGAAGGGGCTTTATCATGGAGCTTCTGCTCCATGTGGAATTTGAGCAGCTCTGGTAGGGTGTATTAACAGAGCAGAGGGAAAAAAGAGGTGGCGGGTGGAGGTTGAGAATGGAAAGAGACTCAAGTCTCCAAAGACAAAAACGTAGAGCAGATGGTCAATGTCAACAGTCCGCCAGTAGTAACTGAATGAACTGCCTATGGGTGAGGATCGTGAAAGGCACCTTGAGAGATGACGCAGATGGGATGTGACCCTGTCCTTGGGAGTCTGCAGGTGACCTGAGAAGGGAAGACAGAGATGGATGCGCTGTGGCACACCAGAGCAAGTACAGTGTGATCTGGGACAAAAAGCCTCAAGCAGCACAGATCAGGCCACTCCCGCAGACTCCTCAGGTTGCCAGCATGCCCCAGAGTCTGGACACGGGGTCCCCTGCTCTTTGAGGTGACCATCTCAGTCTCTGCACAGCTCAGCTAGAGTGGGTTATACCAGGGAACAGTAGCTCCCTTACAGGGACCTAAGTTCAAGCCCCTGCAGAGCCTCATTATAATATTAAAAACCGACAGTAGTCAGGCACTGCCCTGAAGGGTTCAAGGTCCTGATCTCATTTAATCCCCTAAATAACAAGAAAGATGCTGTTACTCTTCACCATTAGACCATGCTGCCTTGCACGCTGGGCCACAGGTGGCCTGTGCTGGCCATGCCCTTGGTCTTCTGTGAACTTGATCAAGTCCACCTCACTAAGACTCCGATTTCTATTTTGTTTTTTTAAGAGATGGGGCTCTCACTATATTGCCCAGGCTGGTCTCAAACTCCTGGCCTCAAGTGATCCTCCCGCTTTGGCCTCCCAAAATGCTGGGATTACAGGCGTGAGCCACTACGCCTGGCTACTTATATTAACTTCCAAGTAGACCATCCATCTCGGGTCTTCTTCCCAACTAGACTGAAGCTCTTTAATGACTTACATCCACTGCTACTACTTCTCTATGCCTGGTGGCTCTGAACATGAGGCAAATAGGAAATACTTGCTCAATACTTGCTTCAGTGGTTCTTGAGGTCTTAATTTCTCCTAGGAATTACAGTGCAGTAGTGAGCCTTGGATTTCCATTTATACTGAGTTCCGTGAGAGAAGCACCCGTGCCTGTCTTGCCCTCTATGGCGTCCCAGATCCCAGTGCCAGCTTGACACATAGCAGAGATTCAGTAAATACCTGCAGGATGAACATGAGTGTGTATTTGGCTTCTGACTCCTATTACTCACTACATGGTCTTGAGAAAGTCAGAAAATCTATATGCCTCAGTTTCTTCATCTATAAATTTGGGATAAAAATCCTTTATTGCCTCACGGGATTGATGTGAAGGTAAAAAATCAAGCAGTCCGCCCACCTCGGCCTCCAAAAGTGCTGGGATTACAGGCATGAGCCACCACACGGAGACTGATTTCTTTGTGAAATGCAGTTTATACATTTGTTGTGAAGATGAAATGAGATCTCAGGCCTCAAAGTGCTTAGCACAAAGTACACAGTAAGCACTCCATAAATGTTAGCTAGTGCGTCATCATCCAAATTATCATCATCACCATCATCATCATGATCATGATCATCATCATCTTCAGTAGTCATTTGTCCAAATTTTTCCATTATCATCTTCAGTAGTCATTTGACCAAAGCTTGGTCAGTGGGGACCCAATATGGGACCTTGATTCCCGATAGGCCCTTCAGCCAAGGCCACATTATGACTTTCATGGGTCCTAAGAACTTTTGTCTTTGGGGCCAAGGGCCCCTTCCTCCATTAAAAAAAACCCACTGAAAATTATATTCTATGATTGCATCGGTATAAAGACAAATACATCAATATCCTATATTAAAACACTTTCTTCAACCTAAATGTTCATTTTTTTTCTCATGATTTTAAAGAAATTAAAACGTTTTTGTGGACCTCTAAAGTCGTGTGTGCCTGTGGCACGATGCCTGCTGTGCCTCATGGAGAAGTGACCATACTTTCCAGCTGTTCAGTCCCAGGTAGGGCGACTGACTGTCCCAGTGTGCTGGGGCTGAGGGTTTTCTCGGGATGCAGGGCTTTCAATGCTAAAACCAGGACAGTCCGGGGGAACCAGTGCATTTGGTTACCCTAGCCCCAGGTCTGGACAGACTCCCTTCCTCTCTGCTGCATCCCAGGGGCACCATGTGCTCTTCTGTAAAGCTGTGCCCATGTACTCAATTCTGGAGGTTTTTCTGATATCCACAGCCACTCCAAGGCCAGGCTGTGGCCTAGGACACAACTGTGTGGGCTATCTCGGAAGAAGCTCCCTCAAGGCAGGGTCTTTGGCTTGTTCACTGAGGCGGCTCCCAGAACAGTGTCAGGCACACAATAGGGGTTCATTAAACATTGGCTTCATGCGTTGAAGAAAACACAAAGAAGCAGTAACACGCATGCACCCTAAACCCCAAAATAAATGTAAGGTAATTAAAAGGTTCCAGAATTTTATAAAGGTCTTGTAGGATTGCTGGTCCATGGACCCATTTACTTCTGAGACTACTGAACACCAGATGAGAATTCTGTCCTCTGCTTCTGAAAATAGATGACCCAAATCCTTTCCATTTCTGTTCTCCCCTGCTCCAGGTCTTCATGAAGCCCCCTTTTTAGCTCAGAGGTCTAAAGTTTGAACCAGACAGAAGAGGGTGACACTCAATCTTCTGAGATGGCCACAGGAATTTTCCCTTGGGACATCTTATGCCCTCAGGAGTTTCTAGAAGGTCTTCCTTTGGGTGTTTTCCTCCTTGGATTTCCAGCTAGGTCCCTGTCCCCTCACCCAGCCTCACCTAGGTCAGCGTCC
Source organism: Homo sapiens (assembly GCF_000001405.40). Classification (NCBI taxonomy): domain Eukaryota; kingdom Metazoa; phylum Chordata; class Mammalia; order Primates; family Hominidae; genus Homo; species Homo sapiens. The sequence continues at coordinate 206,571,779 of NC_000001.11, read as the reverse complement.
TTTCAGTCTCCCTGAGCCCTTCATCTGACCATTCTGCCTGAAAAGTCCTCCCTTCTCTACATCTGACAGAATTGGCCTCCTGCCCCTGGAACTGACAGTGTCTTTTGGGATACCCACTCTTATCTAGAATTAGTGGATTTTCCAACAACATCAGCATATGCCCAATTATTCCAGCATTGCTTTGACTCTCTGTACGTTAGTGTTAGTGGTACAAGCCTGTGTCCCTCATTAGACTATGAGCACACCACAGTCAGTGACTGTACCTTTTCCATCTTTGTATTCCCAGACCACCCTGAACCAGAGTACTGCAGAGTTAATTAAGGATGGACGGTGGGTAGGTGAGTGAGTGGATCCCAATACCCCATCCCAGGCCAACTCTCTCCTAAGCTCTCTCAGTTCTTTCAGGCCAATTTAGAGAGTATTCCTTTGCAAATGATATATGCCATAAGGGATTGATATGCAGAATATATAAACTACCACAATACAAAAAAAAAAACCTGATGAAAAAATAGACAATGGACATGAACAGATATTTCTCTAAAGAAGATCTATATATGATCTACAAACACATGAAAAAATGCTCAATATCACTAATCATTAGGGCAATGCAAATCAAAACCACAGTGAGATACCATTTCATGCATATCAGGATGCTTATTAATAAAAACAATAAACAAGAAAATAACAAGCATTGGCATGGATGCAGGGAAACTGCAGCCCTGTGCATTGCTGGTGGGATTGTAAAATAATGCAGTCACTGTGGAAAATGGTATGGTGATCCTCAAAAATTAAACAGAATTACCATGTGATCCAGCAATTACACTTCTGGGTATACACCCAGAAGATGTGAGAGCAAGGACTCAAATATCAGAAAACCAGTATTTGAACACCCAGGTTTGCAGCGGCACGATTCACAGTAGCCAAAAAAGGTGGAAGCAACCCAAGGGTCCATTGATGGATGAAACCCAAGTGTCCACTGATGGATGAATAAACAAAAAATGTGTTGTGTCCATACAATGGAATCTCATTCAGCCTTGAAAGGGAAGGAAATTCTGACACATGCTATCACGTGGATGAACCTTGAAAACATTAAGCTAAGTGAAATAAGCCAGTCACAAAAGGATTAATACTGTGTGATTCTACTTATATGAAGTTCCTAGAATAGTCAAATTAATAGAGACAGAAAGTAGAATGGTGGTTGCCAGGGGTGGGGGGAGGGGAAAATAGTGAGTTACTGTTTAATTGGTAGGGAGTTACTGTTTAATTGGTAAGGAGTTTCAGTTGGGGAAAACAAAAGTTCTGGAAATGGATGGTCGTGATGGTTGTACAACAATGTGAGGTTATACTTAACGTCACTGCACTATGCACTTAAGAATGGTACATTTTGGCTGGGTGCAGTGGCTCACACCTGTAATCCCAGAACTTAGGGAGGCCGAGGCAGGAAGATCTCTTGAGGCCCAGAGTCTGAGACCATCCTGACCAACATGGTGAAACCCTGTTTCTACTAAAAATACAAAAAAATTAGCCAAGCGTGGTGGTCCATGCCTGTAGTGCCAGCTACTCGGGAGGCTGAGGCAGGAGAATCACTTGAACCTGGGAGGCAGAGGTTACAGTGAGCCAATATTGCACCACTACACTCCAGCCTGGGTGACAGATTTGAGACTCTGTCTTGGGGAAAAAAAAAAAAAAAAAAAAAAAAAAGGTAAATTTTATGTTATGTGTATTTTACCACAATAAAAAATAAAAAGGGCAGGGGAAACCTGGAGGCCATGTCACTGGCTGGTTTTATCTGTTTCCCATAGAGTTGGGAGCTTCCCTTACTTTCTGTATTCCAAGCGAGGAGTCAATGCCACATCTAAGCAACTGGGCCTCCATCACGCCAAGCCCTCCAAGACCAGGCTCTTTTCCTAGGACTAGGCCACTCTCCTGGGATGCAAAATGAACACAAAAAATGACCTGGACAGCCCAGCCTAGCTCAAAGGAGCTGCTGCAGTCGTAGCGGGCATGCCTGCTCAAAACCTCCCAGGGGACTGCCCAGAAAGGTCAGGGGCACAGAAGCCTGTGCTCAGAGATCAGGAAGGGGCCTCAAGATGAACTGGTCCACCTACCCACATTCTAGAGCAAACTAAGTCATGAGGAATGAAAAAGATAAAATATATTACTTTGACATAATTTGAGATGGCTGTCACAGGGCCAGCAGACTGAGGTGGCCCTGCAAAGCTGTCCTTTGTGGGGGAAATTTGCATCTGTAGAGAATCTCCTTTAATGCAGCCAAGGCTTCTTCCCTTGTCCAGATCTAGGAGAGATTAATGGAGTCTGACATCTTTAAAGATCTGAAAGAAACATTTGCCATGTCTTCTCTCTGAGGGTTGCTACCTGTGAGGTTTCATCTACATAACAAGACCACCTTGGCTAGCCAAGCCTCCTCTTCTTCCCCTCCCAAAACCTGTGTTGCCACTAAAACCTGATTTACCAACCATAACCTATTTGGGGCCATGCTCTGAGCCCACAGTCTTTCTGTAACCTTAGGATGTGTATGGGCTTCTGTACCCCACTGGGGCTTGGGTCTTCATTCTGAAGGCTCCCGCGAATACACGTTAAATAAATGTGTGTGCCTTTTTGCCTGCTCATCAATTTGCCTCATGGCAGTGATTTTCAGCAAACCTTCAGAGGGCCAAGCGGAAGCTCTGCCTTGGCCCCTACAGGAGGTTCAGGTAGTGGGGACTTCCCAGCCTTCTCCAGATGTTCTCCCACTACCCTGTCATGGCAAGGTCAGGGTTAGGTCAACATCTGGCTTTCCAGCCTCATATGCGTCTAGAGAGATGGATGTGGTCATAGAGTCACGGCACACTCTTGGTGCTCCAGAGCTAGGAGCTACGTATTGGCTCACCGTTGGAGCTATCCATCCCCACCTCCAAATCACATCCTTGCCCTCACATAGTGAACTTCCTGCACAAGAATGGTTTAAACAAAGGGTTCCTCAGCTTTATGTAGAGTTCCAGATGCTCTGAGAGCCAAAGAGTGAAACTCAGCAGAATCTCCAGGCCTTGAGAGGAGTGGCTTTAGGAGTCCAGTTTATAGGTTCTGCCTGCAGGCTGTACAGGGCCCGGGTGACTGCGGGAGCTCTCTCCACCTCCATATGCTGGCTCCAGCTCCAGCTGGAGCTCCCTGGAGGACAGGGCATTCAGCCTCATAAATGATTCAGATCATTCAGAGGTGGTGTGTGGGAGCCGAGTGGTCTCCGGAGGTGAGTCAGTACCCAGCACCCCGCATACCCACACCGCCCATGCTTGCTAGAAGGGGAGGGGCAGCTTGAGACTTGCGCCAGCAGCCAGGACGCCAGCCTGCGCTGACCACTGGGGAAGTGCAGCCCTTCCTGGCTTCCCTCCACCTGCAGCTTTGAGGGCTGGGGCGCCTCTTCACCAGCCCACACGAGTCCTCTCCTCACATGCTGCGTGCCCTGTTAACCCCACCCTGGGCTGGCAGTCTTGGCACCCAGGTGCTCAGGGATTAATATGTGATACTGAAACATATCCACTTAGCTATTAACTAGCTCTGAGTCTTTTAATGCTTGTGTCCCCTCACTGTGCCATAAAGGCCCAGGGGCAGGGACATTTGATCTCCTCTGTCCCCTAAATGGCCTGGCAAAGGGTCCTATCTTCAGTGACTCCAAGATGGTACTGCTGTCATGAGGCTGCATTTGTGGGCATCCTTTGTGAGGTCAAGAGCTTCAACTACTTGGAGAGTTCTGGAAAGAGCTACAGTTTAGTGGTTAGGAGCTCTGGCATTAGATTACTTGGGTCCAACTTCAGGATCTGCCACTTACTATTATGTGACCCTGGGCACATTATTTGACCCCTTCCCGTGCTTCAGTTTCCTCTTAAGTAGCAACAATAATGTACCTACCTCGTATGGTAGTTTTGAGGATTGAGTGTTTACCAGTAAAGCACCTAAGACAGTCCCTGACACATATCAACGCCCAATCACCAGCCATTACTATCGCACATTCCAGCCATTTCCCAGCAGCCCCTTGTGCCTGCCCTTGTCTGTGAACACAGCCTTATACCTCCACACACCCCAGTCATGAGCCCTACCTCTGGCAACTGTGTTTCTCAAAATGGCCTTTACCATCCCCAGCCCCAGAGTTCGCCAAGTCTTCCCGTCTTACAGAGGGAGAAAGTGAGGCCTAGAGTGGTGGTTCCCCGAGGTCACACACAGTGAAGGCTGGGTGTGGGTTCCCAGGCCCAGGGACAGGCTCCCTTCAGGTACAGGGCCCCAGTACAGCCTGCTCCTCCCCGCTCCATCCATTGACTGTGGGTGCCCAGACCAATGGCACTGCCAAACCAGGATCTTTCACCCACTCAATATTAAATTGGGAGAGTAAAATAAACAAAAGATTTATGGGTTTCTTCCTCCCCAATCTGCCATTCCCCAAAGCTGAAAGGCAGACAGAGGGAATCTGTCAGAGCAGGCTCCCCCGCTCCCTCCCATGGACCCCTCTGCCCAACCCCCTCGGAGGCCCCACTAGAGGAAGACAGAAGACCCACGCCAACTCTCCTGCCAGCAGGTGCCAGGGCTTGGTTGCTTAGTGACCCAGCCCTGCCTACCCCCTTCCTCCAGCGCAAACAGCTGAACAATCACAGCTGGGGTGGTGGGGGCTGCTGTAGGTTTGAAAAGTTGTCCTTGCATTTTCTGCTCACTCAGTGGGATTTTTCATTTCCTGATAACTGGAAAAATCCATTTATTCCACATCCAGAATCTTAGCAAGCTTCCCTTTAAAATAGTCCTGAGATCAACTTTCACAAACCTTGCCCTAAAGTACTTGCTCATGTCCCCTGGGAAAGAAGCTCCAAACCCACTCCTCCTCTGTCAAACCCACATTAAGCACTTACCACGTGCCAGGGGACACAGTGATGAACAAGCTATGGTCCCTGGTCCAGAAAATTATAGCCCATTGAAAGGAGAGATAGGAGAGAAAGAGCGGCGAGGTGTTTGGGGAGCACAGAGAAGGGGACATCTGAGTTACAACTGGAAATGCCCTCTAACACTCTGGAATCACCAGCTCCCACATTCTCCTCCTGAACCCACGCCTTCCCAGCCAATTGTGAGCATCGACATTATAGGTGCCAAGTGCCTCTTCACTGTGCTCCAGCCAACGGAGGGGATAGGTGGAGCTTCAGTTCTGGGGTGAGAAGACCTGCCTCTTGCTCCCCACTGCAAAGCGAGGGCCCTGCAGACCCAGTTCCTGCATGTCATCCACAGCAAAGTGGGGGGAACAGTTCACCACCACTCACCACATGGGGGAGAGCCTGGAGATGAGGAGGATAATGAGGGGTTCACGAATTGGAGGCTGATGAGATGATCATGATAACAAAGTACAGTAACCCAGATTTCCCAAGACTAGAACAGGAAAAAACGGCCTGAATTTCAGCATCAGGAAATTGACTGAATGAGAAAAACAGCTTCCTACGGCAGGACATCAGAGCTTGAGAGGGGTGACTGGAGCTTATTTGGAGCCTTTCAAAGCTGGACTCTTCCCTCAGCTGTGTGTGTGGTGGGATGAGCATGTGCTTTAGAGCTGGACAAGCATGGGGGCTGGCAACCTTGCCCTTGGCTCACCCCCTTTCACATGTTACCTCATAGAATGTGTCAACTTTTTGGCTTGATGGTAGCAGAAATTCCGCCAGCGACATCTGTCAGGCATGAACACTCTGCTGCCTCCCTCCCTGCTTTTCTTGCTTAGGATGGTAAATTAACTTAGTCTAAGATGGTAAACTAACTTAGGATGGTGGTAATGAACAGACCTTCCTTCCCCTGCCTGTCATGGGTTATGTGCAGTCCTGCATGGGGACAGAGGAATGGCTGTGATAACCCCTAACCATCTCCTCCAGCTCCAGGAGGCTCTGCTTTTCAGAGGTGAGGTAAATCCCCCTCCATCCTCCTCAGTGGTGGTGCAGCTCTGTCACTGTGTCTGCTGGCAGCCTGTTCCCAGCCCCTCGTGGGCAATTCCTGTTCAAACCCTTTGATTCTAGGAGTCAGGCCCTCCATCCTCCCTGTCTCAGGAGTTGCTGCCATGTCATGATAAAGGCCATGTGGCTGCAAGGCAGTTGCTGAGAGCATCTTCCACTAGGATATGGAAGGGCCTCCATCCAAACACTTCATGGATGGGGAAGGGGAGCAGCTAGGGTCTGTTACACAATGTGGGCTGGGGGCCCTAAGGCCTTCAAGTACAGAAACCCCATCTCATCCATCTTTATGTCCCCCACCTGTGGTGCTCAGTGCTATAGGAAAGTTAAAAACACAACATTCTGACTGAGGCCAGGTGCTGCAGAGTTTGGACGCTGTACTAAAGAGGGAGAACCAAGTATGGGCTTCACTCCGGAAGGAAAGGGAACCTGGGAAAATTTTGGGATATGGGAAAAATAAGCCCTTGGCAGTTGTAGGCAGGATACACAGAGGGGAAAACACAGGATTGAAACTGCAGGGTAACTGACTTACTGGGGCATCTCAGTGAGAGGCTATGAGCAGCCAACACAGGGTGAGGCGGGGACAGAGAGGAGAGGCCTGACCTCTGCAGCACTGCGGGGACAGATGGGGTGAATAGAAGAGGTGAAGACCCCTGAGGTATTGAAGGTGGGGGACTAGGAGGGTGGGGCAGAGACAGAGAAATAAATGAGTTATGAGTTGGTTCTGGACATACTAAATTTAAGGTATCTGAGACCTCCAGGAAGCTGTAGAAAATGCCATTCTAGAGCTAGGAAGAGAGGTGGGGCGAGGGATGTAGGCTGGAGAGTGATTAGCTAAAGCTGGGATGCTGTGGGAGAAGAGGGGAGATGAGCCCCCAGGACAGAAGCCTTCTGTGAACAGAAGCCACAGGCTCAGCAATTCAAGCCTGAAGCTGTCTGTCAGTGCAGCTCTTTTCTTCCTCCTGGCCCTGAAATCAAGTGCTCCTGATTCGTGGCACTTTATCTCATCCTCTTGTCTCTGGAAAATATGCCAGGCTAGGTCTGGATCCCCACCCCATGCTCTTTGAGGTAGACTAAACCATGAAGAAGAAGAAACCAAGGACCTGCAGGACAGGTCTCAGTTCCCCACCCAGGGAGCTCCCAAAGCCAGAAGATACACAGGTGTGGGGTACCTGGTAAGTGAAGAGCAGAAGAGAAGAGAATCGAGGTCCCCAAGCTAGGACCCCTTCAAGCTCCTAGGCTGGGAGTTGGATCCAAAGCCTGATCTGACAGTGTGCAATAAGACCTGGGATTCAAGGTTTGATACTGGCATAAAATCTTTCTTCTTTTCTCCCTAAACTGCTTGGGTGGGTGGATATTATGTGTCCCAAACTGTAAGTGAAATTGCTTTATAGGGAAAAGCTGATTCTGGATAAACTATCTAAACCTGTGAAGACAGAAGGAGGGCAGGAGGGGAGGAACCAGAACAGAGAGTGAGGGATGGCCTGGACTAAGCGGCGTGTGAACAAGGATGTCTTGGGTGAGTTCCAGGTGGTCCTGGAGGAGGTCGTCTCTCTGACCCCTCCCTAGGGGAAGTCCTTATGGTTTAGAGAACTTGGCAGCCAATATCTAGAATCCCTACCAGGCCCATGAGAAACTAGTAAAAAGGGTCTGTTCCCATGCAAAGAGGCAAGGGACTCTCAGCAGGGAAGATAAGGACACTCACATGACAAGGGTGTTTGTTGAGAAGGACAGGATGAAGTACCTGAGTCTGATGATTGAAATGACTTGGCCATAACCTCTTAGTGGCTTGAGCTGGATGGGAAGGGAGGACTTCATTTACAGTTAGTGCTGTGTGTCTTCCCTTACATCATGTGCCATCAAGATCTCAAAGGGCCTTGAAATAAGAGTTCAGCTTGTGGTGATGAGACTAGCAGAGAAAGCTCTGAGCAGGACCCAGGGGGCCTGACTCCTTGAATCTGTCTCTACTGAGCTGTGTGACTGGGGGCAAATCCTCTTCCCTCTCTAGACTTCAGTTTCCAGCCTAGGAACCTCTTAGGAATCTGTGACACATTCTCTTCTTGCATTCCAATTGGGGTAAGCAGTCAATTACCAAATATTTCCTAAACAGGTGGTTCCTAGATTGCAGCATATATGAGAATCACCTGGGAAAAGTATTAGAAAAGCAGAATCCAGGGTCCCATCTCCAAAGATTCAGGAGCCAGTAGCTCTGGAGTAGGGCCCCTGAAACTCCATTCTCAAAGAGTAGTTCTGGTGCAGGTGGTTGAGGCCACCTTGATGCAACACTGAAGGTTTCAGATGCTACAGAGAAACCAGAGAAGTGCTGAGTGAGGAAAAGCACCCGTCCTCAAGAGATTTCCAGTTTAGATGGGGGAGACAGGACCCAATCCCAAGAACAGAATATCCTCAGTGACAGATGAGAGAGAGGTACAAGGTCAAAGAAACAGGTCATGTCCTTTACCAAGCAGTTATGAGCAGAGCTTCCCAGGTGCCTGGCGCAGAAACGGTGGCAGGAGGCATGTGTGGCAGAGACAGCTAAATGCTCACCACAACCTGCTTCCTTTTCTACCAGGGCTCACAGCTGTACTTCACTTCCCAACCTCCCCTGTGGTTAGGTGTGGCCACGTGACTGAGTTCCAGCCAATGGCCCGTGGTTGCAAGAAACACCCACCATTTCCGGGTCTGGCCCACAAGCTTCCCATGTGTTATCCTGATCCCCACCTGCCAATCTAACTTTTTTAAGTAAAGGGGGAAATAAACCTCTGATTATATTCAATGACTGAAAAGCAGGGGTTGTTTCAAGTTAGTCCATCCTGATTGTACAGGATGCAAGAGAGAAGATGCAGCAATTCAACCCAAGCAGTATTTGGTCAATACTGGCTTTTTTTTTTTGAGACAGAGACTCGTTCTGTCGCCCAGGCTGGAGTGCAGTGGCACGATCTTGGCTTACTGCAAGCTCCGCCTCCCGGGTTCACACCATTCTCCTGCCTCAGCCTCCCAAGTAGTTAGCCTGCCACCACGCCTGGCTAATTTTTTCTATTTTTCAGTAGAGATGGGGTTTCACCAGGTTAGCCAGGATGGTCTGGATCTCCTGACCTCGTGATCCGCCCGTCTCGGCCTCCCAAAGTGCTGGGATTACAGGCATGAGCCACCACGCCCGGCCAATACTGGCTTTTGTAACCAAGTACTTGATGTTGTTGGACCTGAAGGAGATGCGAGTTCTGATCTTATAGGACGGACAATACTGGGAAGGGCCAGAGGAGGCAGCGGGCAGTGAATCCCACGAGTGTGGAGTTCGGACGGCATCTCTAAATGAGGCTATCTGGAGGCTGTGCCAGTCTGAAATCTCTTCTGGGACTAGTCTTGGGCCATGTAAGCCTTTGAGACAGCACATAAAAAACAGTCAAATGGGCCAGTGGTTCCAAAGATTCTAGTTTTATTTTTATTGCTGAAATTTGGAGCTAACTTATTTTTAGTAATCTTTTCTTTTCTCTCATGCCGAGGTGGTGAGGGGCAGGTGCCATGCCTGAGGCCTGGGTGTGCCTGCTGCTAGCAGAGAGATGGGGACCTCCCCAACTGTCCCAGGGCTGTGGGGTTGGCTAGTGCCCCTGGAGTACCACAGGGATCCTGTCCAGGGAGGAGCTGACTGGCCAGGCAGGAGGAGATGGAACAATTACAGGCAGGGAACAGGGAGCAGTGTAGGATCTGACCTCCAGGACCCTCTTCCTCTTGCATCTTCCTTGAAGAAAAAGAATTCAATGGTGTCACTGTAGACCCAAGAAAGCCTAGGCAGATGGGGGCATGGGAGTGTGTTTTCTATGTACTTAAGTATAATATTTAACTATAGGCCGGGTGCGGTGGCTCACTCCTGTAATCCCAGCACCTTGGGAGGCCGAGGTAGGGGTTCACCTGAGGTCAGGAGTTCAAGACCTGGCCAACATTGTGAAACCCTGTCTCTACTCAAAAAAAAAAACACAAAACTTAGCTGGGTGTGGTGGTGGGTGCCTGTAATCTCAGCTACTCAGGAGGCTGAGGCAGGAGAATTGCTTGAACCTGGGAGGCAGAGGTTGCAGTGAGCCGAGATCGCGTCATTGTACTCCAGCCTGGGCAACAAGAGCAAAACTCCATCTCAAAAAAAAAAAAAAAAAAAGAAAAAGAAAAATATTTAACTGTAGATATAGTCAACCTTCTGTTCTTTGTATCCACAGAGAAAAACACACATGAGGAGGAGTCTCCAGTGGGAAGATAGAGGTTTATCTATTAACATATTTCAGTTGTAGGATAGACACCAAGAAGAACTTTTAAGTCACTAAAGTTGTAAGATTACAGGGACTACCTGCTAAAATCAAGTGTAGGGTCAATGTCCCCTTAGCTAGCATGCCTTAAGGAATGGAGGGATGGGAAGGACCTTTCAAAACCTGACCCAGCCTGAAGTTGAGTGTTCCATTTTGTAGAAGGTTCTGAGAGGACAAGACCTACGGTCTATCCTGGGTCATCTACTGAGTAGGAAAAGACCAAGAAGAAGAGAACTTGACAAGGAGTCCTGGAGGGGTGTTAGTCCTGGCTCTACCCAAACAGATGTGTGGCCTAGTGACGTCCTTCCACCTCTCTGGGCCTCAGTTTCTCCATCTATAAAGCGAGGTGCTCTGACATTCTGCAAGCAGAAAGCTGTATTGTCCTCAGAGCACTCACCCCAATGCTCTGGGCCGGTGCCAGAGTCCTGGGGTCCCAGAGCCTGTTTAACATGCCAAGAGTTCAGAACGCCTGTGTTCCCGCTCAGATGTCAAAGCCTTAAATGGCCACCACCTGTAGGCATTTGGGAAATTGATAAGAATGGAAGCTGGCCCCACTTCCAGGGTCAGATCCCTGATAGGAAAAAAATGAACAAATATGAGGGATGGACAGAGGGCCTGGCCTGGCTTCACAGTCACCAGTCCTACAAATCACCAAACCCTATCTTTTGTGGGACTAAGGAAGAAAATTCTCTGGCCTGGGAGGCAAAAGAGGGAAGTTCTAACCTTGGGTCCATCAAAACCTTGTCTTGTGACCTGATAAGTCCCCCTACCCATCTAGGCAACACCTTAGATTGAGGTAACTATGATGGTCTTACTGAGACCATCTACGTCTGCACTGCCCAAGCCCACAGGCTGGCTCTCCCCCAGGCCCCATTTGTGACATGCCTGACCCAGAGAAACACGATCTAATTGTGCCTAGCCAAGTGGGAAAGTACCAGGAGAGTACTGCCTCAGCCTCCTAAAACTGTGGTATGATTCAAAACCAAGTCCCCGGCCCCTCTCAAAGGAGGCACGTGGCCCCAGGAAACTGCCATTTTCTGAAAAGAGAGACCAAGCTAGGGCCCAGGGCCTGGTGCCCCCATCTCCCTTGCTGTCTCCTGACCTTTAGGCACCCCCTTCCTATGAAATGGGGAGACCTTTCCCACCCCTCCGACCTCTTCCCAAAGGGCATTGGAGAGGAGTCTTGGGAACTCCTGGGACTGACCAGTGGCAACTCCCAGGTGGTGGCATCGCACAGCAGTGAGGCTTCCCTGAAGCTCTGTTCTAGCCAGGCACAAACTGAGCAGCCACACAGGTTGTTCTGACAAGGCTATTTATAGAAGCAAGCTCAGCCCTTCCCAGATGAGGGCCTCAATCTCTCGACGACCGGGAAACACATCAACTCCTTTCCTTGGAGACAGGAAAAAGAAATTCTCTTAGGAGCTCAAGCGTGATCTCTCTTTGGGTAAGAATAAAAGCACTGTAAGAGGTCAGAATGGGGTCAGAATATGGCAGAGCTCTTTAAAACCCTTTCCAGAAGTGATCCAAGGGAGAAAAGAGAGTGGAAAAGTGTCATTGAAGGTAAAAAGGCACCTAGAAGAATGAAAGACTGAAACCTTTGGAGGACGCGTCCCCAGCTCAGCCTGCCTCACCCTCCTCAGTCCACCCCTGCACTTGCTCACCCAGCCCTGCCCCTCCCTGGAGAGTTCTGTGCTGAAGGCCAGCCTCGTGCTGAGGAACACTGTCCCTGACCTGAATATCCAGTCAAGATGCTTCCCGTAAGGATAAGAGGGGCCGTGCCCACCACCCTGAAGCATTTATCCCTGATCACCCTCTCTGGGGTTCAGTAAAAGGAGTTTCTTAGAAGGGATTCCTGTCTTCTGAGGGCTTACAGACTCCAGCAAAATGACACAGGAAGATATACAGAGGCCTCAAGATACAAGGTGGATTCAAGACACAAAGTACAGGAAGTGTTTCTGCAGGGACCAAACCAAAGGTGTATTTTCTGGAGGCAGGTGAGGAAGGAGAACTGGGGGGAAGAAGGGAGAGAGATGGCTGTTCAGGCCATGGAGCAAGCCATCCCCCACACCAACCCCATCCCAGTGTATTTTCTTATAGGATATTTCTATTCCTCCCAAGAAATATCAGAAACGGTTATCTTTTCCACTGCCAAGTAAAAGAAACCCCATCTTTGCAGTGCCTCTTCCTCACCTAATTATGCAAAAATCTCACCCTCTGAAACTGAGGGCTTGCAGCCTAGCTGGCAGTGAGAGGCAGGCACAGCACCTAAACTTTGGTTTAAAAACAGGAACCATTTCCTTCCCAGGCAGCAACAAAACACTCTAGAGAAATAGTTCAAAACCTCAACTGTATATCAGAATTACCTGGGGGGCTTTTCAAAATCCTGATGCCCAGGCTGTACCCCAGGCCATTTAAATCAGGTGCTCTGGGCATGGGAACCAGGTATCACCAGTATTTTCTAAAGCTTCCTGTGAATCCAGTGTGTAGCTAAGATTGATAACCACTGGTCTAAATACCTAGCTAGCTGGAGTATCTGTGGGGATTTGGGGGACTTATACCACGCGGCAAGAACCCCACGGGAGGGTGGGACACCTCCCCTCTGCAGCCACGGTGTTCTGCAGGAGCCCCACCTACAGCCAGGGAAAGGGACGCCTGTCCCTTTGCCCCTCACCCTCTGGAACATCCCCTGCTCTCCAGCCTCATGAGTGGTGCCCTGGAAAACAGGTGCTAGTTACAGGGGCCTATTTTAGTTGACTCCTTCAAACATAAAATCACAATCTCTTCTTTGGTTCTTGGGCCTCTTCTCACAATTGGAAGGTACAGTATATTTGCCTGACTTCAGAATCCAGGAAAGGCAGAGCCTACAGGCAAGATGAATTATTAACAAAGGAGGCCTCAGAGTCAGGCCTGGGGAAGTTTTTGGTTAATTTGAATTGGTGTAGCACTGCTGAATTAATGATGAGCCTGCCACACACCTGCGAAATATAACAGCTCACTTCTGTCTATAAACCAGCCCCTTCTAGGTAACCTCTCTAAGGACCTGGCTTGGAGCCCTCTCATCTAAGTAGCAAAACAAATAAACAAACTCAGCTTTACCTCCACTCCCACCAAGATACTGACAGACACGAGGCCTGCAGCCAACTAGGAGAGTGGCCAGGGCACCCAGGCTTGCTGGGTGTCTAGAGGCGGACACCTTTAGGAAATACAAGTCATGCCATCAGGAAACACACGCAAGCCCCTTCAGGTTACCCAAACCGACCCAGGAAGTTAAAGTGGTAGCATGACAGCAGCCTAGGCCAGAAGTTTTCGTCTGCTTCTAAAAACACCCTGGACTTCTGCAAAGTTGCTGGATTACGACTTAAGGTGGTTTCTGGCCACTTCAAATACGGAAGTCCCAACCGATGAATGTGTGTTTATGAATGTTTATCAACTGATGAATGTTTATCTTATTGTGGGATTGGGTGGCATTCAGTTTCCACCTAGAACTTCTAAGCTAGGATTTGGGGAGGGGGTGCGGTTATGAGACCGTGCACTCAGGCACAGGTGAACCTGCAGCCAATCTACCAGCCAGGGGCAGCCCCCACATTCTGGAGAGCCATTTTGAAGAGATCTGTGGATGGAACCGCTGTGAGGAGGGCTGACCAACTGAATAGTGCAGGTCCCTGAAGGGCTCCAGATACGATGCTCAGCCCTCAGGGCAACTGCCTGGCCACTTTCCTGACATGTGGCTTTGTCCCTTTGCTGGGAGCAAGGTTTCCCTTCTAGATTGACCACAGAGGTTATTTCCCCCCACGAAAGGCTCCTGCATTCCATTATTATGTTTACCTTTGAAAGATGTTTGCTCTGCGCATTTCTGAAAAAGGTAGTCTTAGCAGTGAAGAAGCAGTCTTCCAGTTCCTCGTCCAGGCTGCAGTACCCACTGCTCATGCTGCTGTCCACGGTCATCTACCCCGGAGTTCCCGGCCGAGGCCGCCAGCGCATCAAGGGGGCCGGGCTTGGGATGCGGCGGAGGGAGGTGGGCACCCCTCCCCGGGCTCCGCTTGGCGTAAGCCCCTAGCTCTGAGCCCCGAGCCGGGAGCTGGTCGGGTAGCGGACCAGGCAGAGCCGGCGGGCCGCCTGCGTTTCTTTCAGCGGGGTGCGAGCGCTCGGGCGGCCCGGTAACCTGCTCCTGTCCCCGCGCCGCCTGCGCCTGCAGAGCCCCGGGCGCCCGGCTCGCGCCTCACTCCCTGACTCGTCCGGGCTCTGCGGTTTCGTGTCCCCGGCGCCAGCGCCCTCCCTCCGCCGCCGTGCAGAGCGCCATCTCCGCACCTCCCCCGCCTCCCGCGCCTTTCCTGCCCCTCGCGTAAAGCAGTTCTGAAGCCACTTCCTCTGCAAGGTTCCTCAAAGCCGGCTCGGCTGTCACTGCGCCCCTCCCCCGCCTCCCCGCCGCCTGGGTGCCACCCGCCCCCGGTGGCAAGTGGACTCAGGGAACTGCAGGTCATATAAGGGATGCAGGGAAAGAAGGGACCAGGATGGACCCGAGGGGGAACATTCCCTCTGTTCTTTCTTCATCATGCACTTGCTTCTGGAAAGAGCCCATTCTCATCAGCCCCGGTGACTCAGGTTCCACGGAGTAAAAGGTGCTAGCTATAAGGGCAACACCATCCCTCCTCCCTTCTCCCCCATCCACTTCCTCACCCCCACCCCCTCCCTCCCCCATTCGCTGGGTGGGGGAGCCGGGTCAATCGGAATGGTTAGAGAAGAAAAAAATCAATATCTGCCCTGCCTGGGGAAACAGCAATATTTTAAGTTGGAAATGCCAGAAGAAACTGCAGGGTCACCACAAACACATGCAAATCAGATGCAGAGTTATGGCAACCTAGAGAGCAAGCTGCCTTCCCACCCATAGAACTTGGCCCTCAGGAAGCCTCAGGATACACAGGAGCCTGCAGACACTGTCCAGGTCATCTGTGTATCTTCCGGATAGTCTGAGAAAGAGGGGTCTTGGCCTGATCTTGTCATTCCTAACATTGAGAAGGGCTCATTTATATTTTCCCATCTGACTGGACAAAGGAACACATAGGGCTGAATCCTTCAAAGCAGTTAAGACAATTACCCCACAATAGATCAATAGCAGTTCTAGCTACCATTGTTTGAACAACTCTCTGTGCAAGTGATTTACGTGCACTCTATCATTGACTCATTCCAATAGCCTTGAGACAGAGACTGTGTACAGATGAGAAAAGTAAGGCTCGGAGTCACACAGGTAGAACACGTGTGCTGGGACTCAGCCCTGGTGTGTGCAGCTGCCTACGCCCCAGTCACTGTCATGTACAGACCCTCAGCAATGATGAGGCTATTTGGGTGGGCACTTTGCCATCTTTAAATACAGTGGGGGCTGGAGTCCCGGCAGGGAAACTGCCTTCAGAGGCCTGGCTTTGCTACCATGTTCATGGAGTCTGATGGCTCATGGACCCCGGAGGGCCCTGGACTGTGGCTGAGAGGGGTTATCAGGTCTCTCTCCAAATCTGTGTAGCTTTTCCTACAGTTCTGAAACAATCCAGTCCTGGGGAAACATAAGCTGGGTGGAGGACTAGACTCAGCCCCCCGGACACCAAGCTGCCAACTCCATCTTAAGCTCTGGCTACCTTCATGAGAAACCCTCTCCCTCTCCCACCTAAGCCAAATCCGTCAGTGCTCGGGAAGGTTTCAAACTGCAGCCCAATTTGGCTTCATCCTCCCACACAGTCTTCTTCCCAGAAGCCTGCGAGTGCCTGGCAGGCACAAAAACAAGAGAGCTGAGAGTCAGCACCCCAGCCGGCTGGCCGCCCTCGGTGCAGGAGAACTGTCAATACCAGTAGCTGTCTTCTCTGGCAGGCAGATAAGAGGAGGGAGACGGTCAGCACCCGGGGCTGGGGTGAGCTACCGGGTGTTTGCAGGGGAAGATCTCACATTAATGGGGGTGAAAGTAGGTTCTGGCTTTGTCTGGAGCAATCTTTTTTTCAAATTTTAGAGGCTGTTTGGGGGGTTTCCCCCAGAGAGGTGGTTTCCTGTGATCCTTGGGCCATCAATAACAGCTCACCTGCTTTGTCCAGCCAGCTAAGAAACATGCTTTTCTTCATAAAAAGAACCTCCTTGCTCAGTGGGAATCTAATACTTAAGAAAAAAAAAACAGGCCCCAGATTCTCTGTGGCCACACTGTGTCCTTGGATTCATGCCGGGAAGCTCTGCAATGCAACCTTCACATACAGCTAATAACAACCTATTCAAACACCAAGCCAAGGTACCCCAGGAGTCAGCATGAATCTCTCCTTAGAAGCAGCACACCAGATGCCAGACCTGGTTAGGAAAGTTCTCAGGGACACTGTGTTCTTTTAGGGTACTGCTCCCTGCCATTCCAAACCTTATGAAAATCTGACATCTGAATAGGGTCTTTCAAACCTTTTTAACATCCATTATTTCCCCCAGGCTACTCTTTTATCCTAAGAGCAGGTACTATGCCCATTTTATAGATAAGGAAACTGAGGGAAGTAACTTGTTCCATCACAGCTCATTACTTTCAAAGCCTCTTGACTTCTAGTTAATGTCTCTTTCCCTACCCTGTCCCAGCTGTCAGTGAATCTAGGTTGGGAAGAAAGCCATGTGTAAGAAGTCAGCAAAACAGAGACTGTGCTGGCAGGGACTTTAGGACTAGAAGAAATATACAAAGATCATATATAATATACCAAAGTTGGCCAGCCTCCAGGAGGAAAAATCCAGACTGAAGCCCCAGGGTCTCAAAGGAAGGAAGACAGGACTCCCTGAAGCATCTAATGGCCCTGTCTGAACCTCTGGACCTCTTCCCTATGAATAATCAATAATAGTGATAGCTTGGCCAGGGTAAGAGGGAGGGGGCATGGAAGAGTCTGAGCAAGAGCCTTTAAGGCCCTGAGATGTGATCGCACAAAGGATGGGAACTGGCTATTCTTGTCCCTGGACTTAGGAAGAGGAGGCTGGATCTAAAGCTGTAGCAGCCAGAGCCCTAAATCCATGGCGTCGTGCTGGGGTTCAGAAAGCCCCATTGAAATGATGAATGGGCCACTTTCCTAACTCAAAGTGTTAGATGATGAAAGACATTATTTTAAGCTTTTTTCCTTTCTCAGATACAATCCTGTCATGTGGCCAGATCCTCTTGTAAGATCCACCCTGTAGTTCTGCATGTACCAGAAAAGCTGTGATACAGGACTGGAAGTCAGGAGCTTGTATTCTAGTCCCAGCTCCAACTCCAGCTTGATATGGTATCTTGAGCAACTATGGACATCAGGTTTCCTCAACTATCCAGTTGAAGGGTAGCAGCAGTGGAGATCAGATTTAGGGCCTTATGACCTTATGATCAGATGTAGTGGCATATAGAGAGGCTGAAAACCAGGGCAAGGTGCCACCGCACCCCTGAGACATATTTTGAAATCACCGTTAGCTAGTATGTGCAGGCACTGTACTAATAATTTGTTCATAATTTCATTTAAGCCCTACAACAAACCTATGAGGAAGCTACAGTTATTATCTATATTTTACAGAAAGCAAAAGGAGGTTAAGGCAAGTGAAGTTACTTGCACATATCCACACTGTTAGTTAATGGTGGAGCCAGATATCAATTCCGCTGGGTCTGACTCCAGAACCCAAGTCCTTGAACTCTATACTCTGCGGCCTCATGGTTTACCTCTGTGATTACTCTCATAATAACCACATGCCTGAAATTATAGTCCATTACAAACAAGTTAGGAACCACTTTCTCCATCTGACTATGCCCCCGTCTTCCTTTCAGCTTCCTGGGGTCTTCTCTTCTCCCCCTGTGTACCCCTGCTCTCCTTGGGGGGTAAGTCTCACCTATGCCACTGGTATCAACCACACCTAACAGACTCAGGGCTCATAATTCTTTCTCTCCCAGGTATCTCCAGGTGGGTACCTGTAACAGCTCACTGAGTACCCAGCCCTTCCTATTGGAGTTTCACTCTTAACAGGGTCAAGATTGAGTTTGTTATTCCCTCCCTTGTCCGCTACCTGCTCCTTCTTTTCCTCCCGTAGTATTTCCTGTCTTGATGAGTGCCATTAACTGAGATTAGTGCAAAGCCTTCCAAGAGTTCCCCATGTTTCTATCTCTGCCTCCTCCAAACCCCCTACCTTTTTATTGCCACAGTTACCCTTCTGAGATGAAGATCTGATCATGGTACCATAACAACTTCCATTCAGATTTCAACAAAAAATTATTGAATAATTACTATGTATCAAGTTCTACTTGCTTATTCTTTCTTTCACTTAGCAAATATTTACTGAGCCCTTTTCTTGTTTTTTGTTTTTTTTGACAGTGTCTTTCTCTGTCACCCAGGCTGGAGTGCAGTGGCGCGATCTCATCTCACTGCAAGCTCCACCTCCCAGGTTCACGCCATTCTCCTGCCTCTGCCTCCTGAGTAGCTGGGACTACAGGCGCCCGCCACCACACCCGGCTAATTTTTTGTATTTTAGTAGAGACAGGGTTTCACTGTGTTATCCAGGATGGTCTCGATCTCCTGACCTCGTGATCTGCCTGCCTCGGCCTCCCAAAGTGCTGGGATTACAGGTGTGAGCCACCGCGCCCAGCCTTACTGAGCACTTTCTTCAGGCAAGCACTAGACTGAGTGTCTGAGTTTGGGCATGAATAAGACACAGTCCCTACCTTCTAATAATATACAGTCTAGTGAGAACAACATTGAATAAGACGGTCTACTAAAGTTACTGAATGAAAGTTACACATTTCATTATCTCACTTAATCCTCAGAACCCTGCAAGAAGGTATTTTGCAGATGAATGAACTGAGTTTCAGAGTAAACTCGCCCAAGCAAGTAAATGGTAGAATCAGATTCAAACCCAGAGCCCCTGTAACTTTCCATTACAATTGTCCTTTCTCCACCGACTCCCGCCACCTATTCCAAACTCTTGAGCAGGTCCTTCAAGACCCTTCACGGTGCACACCCAGCCAACAGTTCACACCCATCTCCAGGTGCAATCAAGCAACCCTCATTACAGCTGCACAAAATTCGATCCACATTCCCAGAAGCCACCCTTCCCTCTTGTGGCTTAGCTCTTGCTATTCTCTCCTCTGATGTCAAAATCCTCCTCCTATGTCCTCCCCACTTCCTGACACATATTCCCCAATATCATCCATACCTCCCACACCTTCCATCTGACTCTGAGAAGCATCCTTAACCAGATGTCCTATCTGGGTTGAATCTTAAGATGCTGCCATCCCTAGGGTAGCAATTTTCAGCATTCAATGGCTGTGTACAGCAGAGAGCTCGGTGTCTCCCCAGATGACTTCCTGTTGTAAGAGGTGAGTGGTGGCACACCATTTAGGTTAGACTCACCCTACAGTCACTTTCTCAGCGGTGCTAACCCACACCACACTTCTGATTGGCTGCCAGGCTAACAGCTTCGATAGGCCTTGACACTGAACCTACTGAAGATAGCTGAGTTACCCCAGTTGTCCACACCCTCAAGAACTCATGTCAGGGTCTGAGTCAGGCCCAAGGGCTCTGTCTTCTAATTTTCCTCCCTAGTGAGAATACAGAGTGACAAAAGCTATTTCTGATCAACAGCCGTCTCCCTGATGTGCCCCTCTCTGGGCAGGGCCAATCCTCCAACATCCCGGGCAGCATGGTCACCAGGGTGAGATGTGAACAACTATTGCACTGCTACATCTAGCAAGGAGGGTCTTGCCTCTCGCCTCAGGGCTAGCCTAGCCCACCTGGGGGTCATCTCAGGAAGCCCACTGCTTCTAGGGTAAAAGGGGATAGGCTGTGAAGAGCCCAGAGAAATGTCTCCAGGGTTTAAGGATTTCTAGAGAAATATGCACCAGAGCTCTGTCCCTCCTTGTGGCCAGGACTTCAGGTGCCTCCTTTTTGGGAAGCATTTCCATTCTGCCTAATCAGAAATACATTGGCGTGGGCTGGGCCCATCTGGGGCTGGTCAGATAGGCCTTGGAGAGGCTCCTGTGAGGGCGGCTGTCCAGTGCAAAGGAATCACTGACAGCTTTGGCCAGCACTTCTGGCTTCTAAAGTGTGGCAGGAGTCTGTGAAGGAGCCATGGAGAAAGCTGTCCCAGATGGGACGGCCTAGCCAGGGTAAGAATGAAGGATGTCCGCTCAGGGTAACGTGGAGGGAGCGGGGGACTGGCTCCTTCTCTTGGCAGATATAGGTGGGCTGGTGTGCATCTGGCACCTCTAGAATCCCCTGGGAGCAGCCATTAGCTTCTTATCAAGGGAAGGAGTCAGAATAGAAGAAATCAGTGCCAAATTTGGGGTTTGGAAGCTAAGGAAATACTGACTGAGGGACTAGGTGGGGTCTAATGTATTCTGCTCCCCACCCTCACATCTACCAGGAAAGATTAGATGTGGGACCCTAGTTTCTGACTTTCCTGACATTCCTGCCATGTCAACTAAAGGTGGTGAGTTCCTCTCATTTCTGGTGGCCACAGAATAACAAAAGATTCTGTCAATATCAATTGATTGCTAGATCATAAAGTTATTAAGCTATAGAAAGCCAGATTTTAGAGCTGGGAGCGCTAAACTTGCTCCAAGATGGCAGAAAGGGGCTGTCAGCAGCCTTAGGACTGGGTAGCAGGGCAGGCACATGGATTTGTGCCTGTGTGCTCAGGGTACAACACAAAATCCCCATTTTGGAGCGTTACCATATTTTAAGATGCTGAGAGCAGCATTGTTCACACCCATAGCTATCTTGAGGATAATGTGTCTACAGAGGGCAAGCAGCCTGCTGGGCTGAAGGCTCTAAAACACCATAGGGGCAAGGGAAACTATGTTATTTGCCAGTCCTATTATATATATTCCTTGTGGTAGGTGCTGGGAACACACTGGTAAACAAACAAGGTTCATGCTCCATGGAGTTTACAAGTGCTTTTATACAGTTGCCACAACAACCACACTGGTGTCCCCATGTAATAGCTAAGAGAGGTTATGTACTTTCCTAGTGTCATAATAAGTGGGAGAACCAGCATTCTGAATGCAAAAAACCTCCACAAATCCAAGTTCAAAATCGAATAAAATGAAGGACTTCTTCAGCACCTACTATGTGCAAGGCCCAGTGCATTATGAGGAAGACTAAATGGCAAAAGATAGGATCCCTGCCCTCAAGGCATTTACCCAATGCGTAAGGCTGGGTATTAAATGAACTAGTACGAATCAGGATTAGAACAGTGCCTGGGGGAGTTCTGCTTCTGGCAAAGATGAGGGAATAGGATTCAGATATATCCTCCTGATTAAAACAACCAAAAAAATGGATACAACTAATGAAACAGTGGTTTTTAAAATACTGGCTATCAGGTAATGAGGAATAGCAATCCCCGAGACACAGGAAACAAATGAGTTGATCCCTAGATTTACTCCCAGTTTACTCCCAGATGTGGTGCAGAGCGGGTACTAAGGTGGAGCCTGGAAAACCCCCTGAAGCTGAGGAGATGCTGCTCGAGTCTAGGGAGACAAAGGCAGCCCGAGTTCACAGGACAGAGTAACTGAATGGAGACAGCTGCAGAGAGAGAGAACTGCAGAAAGGCCCCTATAGTATTCACCTGCGTGCTTACTGATCGGTGTGTGCATGGGAAGAAATGACCCAAGGCTAGAGAAAGAACCGCCCAAAAGGATTACAGGTAACAGTGTCTGCCCTCATACAGGGCAGGAATAGTGCCTGTTCCTACAAGCCATACCAGAAAACCTCATGATTTATTAGGCACTGAGTAGAGTACACAGAGAGTCTTACCTTAGTGGTGGGAAATAATTAGCCCTAGACTGAGGACTATTCCAATCCTGACAAATCTTAAAGAGGCTCTTAAAACCTTAAAAAGGATCGAACTTCTAAGTAATTTAACTGGGTCCTAGAACAAAACTCAGGAATATTTCCACAGGGCTGGGTGCAGTGGCTAATGCTTGTAATCCCAGGACTTTGGGAGCCTAAAGTGGGAGGATCACTTGAGGCCAGGAGTTCAAGACCAGCCTGGGCAACTTAGTGAGACTCTGTCTCGACTACTGACCACAACTGACACAGATATTAGCATTGGTCAAAGACACTAATTCTGGTGTCTCAGGCAGCCCACTGCTTCTAGGGTAGAAGGGGATAGGCTGTGAGGAGCCCAGAGAAATGTCTGAATAAGTATATGCTATTTATTCAAAAAGTTAAGTAGGAGAAATGGAAAATATTTAAAAGATCCACATCAAACCACTAGAGTTGAAATTTACAATGCCTTTGATGGGAAATATACTAGATGGGGATTAATGGCAGATTAGACTTTGCAGAAGAAAAGATTAACAAACTTGAAGACACAGCAATAGCAATGATCCAAAATGAAGCACAGGCCAGGCATGGTGGCTCACACCTGTAATCTCAGCACTTTGAGAGGCCAAGGTGGGTGGATCACCTGAGGTCAGGAGTTCGAGACCAGCCTGGCCAACATAGTGAAACCCTGTCTCTACTAAAAATACAAAAATTAGCTGGGAGCGTTGGCAGGCACCTGTAATCCCAGCTACTTGGGAGGCCAAGGCAGGAGAATCACTTGGACCCAGGAGACAGAGGTTGCAGTGAGCCGAGAACGCGCCATTGCACTCCAGCCCGGGCAACAGAGCGAGACTCTGTCTCAAAACAAAATAAAACAAAACAAAATGAACCACAGAAAGAAAAGAGAATTTTTTAAATGAACAGAGCAGTAAGCTGTGGAACGAATTCAAGCAGTCTAATATACATGTAAGTGGTATCCTCAGAGTGGGGGGGTATGAAAATATTTGAAGAAATAATGCCCCCAATTTTTCCAATTTTCGTGAAAACTATAAATCCACAGATCCAACAAACTCAATGAACACCCAGTACAAGAAACATAAAGACAAGTACAAAAGGCACATTGTAACCAATTGCTCAAAACCAGTGTGATACAGTTTGGATATCTGTCCCCTCCAAATCGCATGTTGAAATCTGACCCCTCATGTTAGAGGTGGGGCCTGGCGGGAGGTGTCTAGGTTGAGGCGGCAGATCCCTTATGAATGTCTTGGTGCCCTCCCCATGGTAATGAGCATCTCGTATTGTTCCTTCATGTGAGAGCTGGTTGTTCAAAGGAGCTTGGCGCCTCCTCCTCTCTCTCTGGCTCCCTCTCTCACCATGTGACATGCCTGCTCTCCCTTCACCTTCCGCCATGAGTAAAGCCTCCTGAGGTCCTGATCAGAAGCCAAACAGATGTTGGTGCCATGCTTGTACCGTCTGCAGAACCATGAGTCAAACTCTGTTCTTTATACATTGCCCAGTCTCAGGTATACCTTCATAGTAACACAAAACAGACTAATACATAGCGATAAAAAGAAAAAAGAAGAATATGTTATATACAGAGGAGCAGAGATAAAGATACCAGTAAATTTATTGTTAGAAATAATGCAAGTGAGGAGGTAGTGAAGCAACATCTTCAAAATAATGAAAGAAAAAAAGTGCCAACCTAGAAATTTCTATCCCATAAAAATCTCTCAAAAAGGAAGGTGAAATTAGAACTTTTTCAGACATGGAAAGTTGAAAAAACTCATCATCAGCACACCCACAAATACAAGAAATGTTAAAGAAAGTCCTTCAGGCAGAAAGAAAATGATATCGGATGGAAACCTGGATCTACCAGAAGAAAAAAAAGTACCAGAAATGGTAACCAAATGAATAAACAATTTCTTATCATTTAAATCTCTTTAAAATATAATTGGCCATTTAAATAAAATAGTAACAATATTGTAAGGGGCTTATAGCAGTGGTCCCCAACCTTTTTGGCACCAGGGACTGGTTTTGTGGAAGACAATTTTTCCATGGACTGGGGTGGGGCTGGTGGTTTGGGGATGACTCAAGTGCATTACATTTATGGTGCACTTTATTTCTATTATTATTACATTGCAATATATAATGAAATAATTATACAACTCACCATCATGTAGAATCAGTGGGAGGCCTGAGCTTGTTTTCCTGCAACTAGATGGTCCCATCTGGGGGTGATGGGAGACAGTGACAGATCATCAGCCATTAGATTCTCATAAGGAGCACGCAACCTAGATCCCTCGCATGCGCAGTTCACAATAGGGTTCAGGCTCCTCCGAGAATCTAATGCTGCCGCTGGTCTACAAGGAGGCAGAGCTCAGGCTGTAAAGCAAGCCATGGGGAGTGGCTGTAAATACAGATGAAGCGTGGCTTGCTCTCCAACTGCTCACCTCCTGCTATGCAACCTGATTCCTAAAAGGCCATGTGTGTGGCCCTGGGGGCTGGGACCCCTGGCTTGTAGTATATGCGAAAATAAAATACAGGACAAGAATGGTACAAAGGTCTGTAGATGAGAAATGGAAGGATACTATCATTTTTGTCTTTTCTTTTCTTTTTTAAAATTTTTTTTGGTATAAAATAGAGACAGGGTCTCACTATGTTGCCCAGGCTGGTCTCGAGCTCCTGGGCTCAAATGACCCTCCTACCTCAGCCTCCCAAAGTGCTAGGATTACAGGTGTGAGCCACTGTGCCTAGCCAGGGTTTTATACTATACATGACATGGCATAGTATCATTTGACAGGTAGACTGTGATGAGCTAAAGATGTACAGATGGTTCCCTCCTTACAACGGTCCTACTTATGATTTCTCAACTTTAAGATGGTGCTAAAGAGATGCACATTTGATAGAAACCATAATTTAGGTCAGCATTCAATAAATTACATGAGATATTCAACACTTCATAAGAAAATAGGTTTGGTGTTAGATGATTTTGCCCAATTATAGGCTAATGTAAGTGTTCTGATCACATTTAAGATAGGCTAGGGTAAGCCATGTTGTTTGGTAGGTTAGGTGTATTAAATGCATTTTTGACTTCAGGTATTTTCAACTTTCAGTGGGTTTATTGGGATGTAATCCCATAAATTAAGGACCATTTATATACTGTAAATGCTAAGACAACCATTAAAATAACAAAACAAAGGGTTAAAGCTTGTAGGCAACAAATGGGATAAAATGCAATCATAAAGTACATTCAAGTAGTCCAAAAGAAGGCAAGAAAGAAAAAAAGAAAAAGTGAACCAAGAACAGATAGAATACTCATAGAAAACCAATAGCTGGCCGGGTGCGGTAGCTCATACCCATAATCCCAGCACTTTGGGAGGCTGAGGTGGGAGGATCACTTGAGCCCCTGATCACTTGAGACCAGGCTGGGCAACATGGCGAAACCCGGTCTCTACGAAAAGTACAAAAAAGTCAGCCAGGTGTGGTGGTGCATGTGTAGTCCCAGTTCCTCGAGAGGCTGAAGTGGAGGATCACCTGAGCTTGGGGAGGTTGAAGCTGCAGTGAGCCATGATTGTGTCACTGCACTCCATCCTGGGTGACCGAATGAGATCCTGTCCCAAAAAAAAAAAAAAAAAAAAAAAAAAAAAAAAAAAAATAGAAAAAGAAGAAAGAAAAGAAAAAAAGTAGTAAGAAGATAGACTTAAAATCTAGCTATATCGTGAGCCGAGATCGCGCCACTGCACTCCAGCCTGGGTGACAGAGCAAGACTGTCTCAAAAAAAAAAAAAAAAATCTAGCTATATCAATAATCACATTAAATGCAAATGATCTAAATACTCAAAGGGTAGAGATGAGCAGATTGGTTTAAAAAAAAACAAGATCCAACTATTTGCTGCCTATAAGAAATGATCTTTAAATATAAAGAGACTCATAGCCTAAAAATGAAAGGGTAGATTAGGGAATGCCATGCTAATGGTAATTAAAAGAAAGCTGCAGTAACTATGTTAATATTGGACAAAGTAGATTTCATAGTAGAGAATGTTAACAGGGATAAAGAAGGTCATTTCATAATGATACACAGGTCAATTAACTAAGCAGACATAATAATCCTAAAAGTATCCCATGTGGTGACTTGTGCCTGTGATCCTAGCACTTTAGGAGGATCGCTTGAGGCCAGGGGTTCAAGATCAGCCTGGGCAACAGAGCAAGACCCCATCTCTATAAAAAAACTCAAAAAATATTCAGGCATGGTGGCACACACCTGTAGTACCAGCTACTTGGGAGGCTGAGGCTGGAGGATCACTTGAGCCCAGGAGTTCAAGGTTACAATGAGCACCACTACACTCCAGCCTGGGTGAAAAGAGTGAGACCCTGTCTGTTAAAAAAAAAAAAAAAAAAAACACAAGAAATTCCTAAAAGTTTATGCACCTAATAATGGAGCTTCAAAATACAGGCATATTAACTGTAAAGAGAAATACACAAATCCACAATTATAGTTGGAGATTTCAACACTTCTTTCAATAATAAATGAAATGAGTAGACAGAACACAGGTATGCCTCAAAAAATGTCAGCTACTGTTGTTATCAGTCACAGTTCAATTAACATGTGTTGAAGCTTCCAGAAGGGACCCAAGACCCTGCACTTCCTGAGAGATGTGCAGGTAGGTCTATCAAGTGTGTTAGGGAGCCCGGGGCCTCAGGAAAGGACACATCCCCCCACCCCCAGCACCTGCCCTTTTAGGCGCATTTCTTCTTGCTCTCTGGCTCCCCCACGTGGTCATCCTGGGTTCAACACGTGGCTGTTGGGCTGAGGGACAAGGCAGGACTGGCCGCAGGAGCTTTTTTTTTTTTCTCAAGGGTCTGGAAAGGTAGAGACCGCGTTAATGCAGACAGTGGCATGTCTGCAGGAGGGAGCAAAGGACTGGGAGCCAGGAAGCACAGAACTCCAAGCCAGCGGAGTCACTACTCTGCTGCAGGGGCTGAGGGGTGATTGCAGCAGGGGCCCTGCTAAGGCTTGACAGTGTTTGGGGTTGGGGGTGTAGGCAGAAAGGCAGCAGGGACCTGCAAGGCTGAAATGCTGGCTGGCCGGCTGATCTATCCTGGAACCCTGGAAGCCATCTGCTCCTTTGGTGAGTGGGGACAGGGACTCATCCACAGGGTGGAATAGTGACTTGGGGCCTCAACAATAGTCATAAACCTTATAGCAAAAAATGTCCACCCAAACCACAAAGCCAGAGAGTCCTGGTTTTATATCCAGGACAACAACCCTACTTTCTGGTGTTTTGGAGAGTTGGCAGAGCCAGACCATAAGGGTTGTGTGTGCTAATCCAGATTTAGACTCATTCTGAGGGCAATGGGAAGCCACTGAGGGCTTTCATCACAGGAGTTACACAGTTAAAAAATCTACATCTAGCAAGACTGTTAGAGGTACCAGAGATGGCCCAGGACTGCCACCTAGAATACTCATGCTTTTGTCCACTCATGCTTTCACACACCTCTTCTCGCTGGAGCCTCACAGGGTCCCATTTCTCAGAAGAGAAACCTGAGACTCAAAGAAACTAAGAGGCTTGTCCTGGCTCATATGTCAAGTATTTCGTCTACACAATCTGGATTAGAACCTAGCTATTCAGTCACCCAGGCCAAGGGTCTGTGTTTTAAGAAAACATTTACTGCCTTTTAATAATATGACATTAGGGCCAGGTGCAGTGGCTTACACCTGTAATCCCAGCACTTTGGGTGGCCGAGTCAGGCGGATCACAAGGTCAGGAGATCAATACCAGCCTGGCCAACATGGTGAAACCCTGTGTCTACTTAAAATACAAAAATTAGCCTGGCATGGTGGTGCACGCCTGTAATCCCAGCTACTCAGGAGGCTGAAGCAGGAGAATTTCTTGAACCCAGGAGGCGGAGGTTGCAGTGAGCACAGATTGCACCACTGTACTCCAGCCTAGTGACAGAGCAAGACTCAATATAAAAAATAAAAATAAAAAATGACATTAGGAACATATGAAAAGCATTTGGCTATTCAAACAACACAGAAACAAAGGGCAAAAGGTGAGAGCCTCACTCTACCCCTTTCAACGTCCACCCCCTTCCAGGGTGAAATCTCTTTCAGTAGTTAGCTGAGCACTACCAGGCCCTCGTTCTGCATTTACACACACACACACACACACACACACATACACACACACGTGTATATATACATGCAAAATACAAATGGCCTGGTCCTATGTGTACCGTGGAGGGACCTGCATTCATGCTGCACAATTCCGTATCAGTATATACAGATCCAAGTGTCCTTTGGAAGAGCACCTTGGTATTGGTAAGAACAGCTGGCAATTCCTTCTCAGCATCCCAGGAGCTCTCTCCACTGCTCACACTGCCCCTTAGGCACTCCCTGGACCCAGTGCCCTGGTAGTCCAGGCACCAGATGGCCAAAGAGAGTGGCCTCGATAGGGCAGCATCTCCCACAAATGACACCTGAAAGGACTTTAGAACAGTGCGTGGATTTTTTTTTTTTTTTTAGTCAAGGTCTCACTCTGCTGCCCAGATGGGAGTACAGTGGCATGTGGCATGATCATAGCTCACTGTAGCCTCCTTCTCCTCAGTTCAAGCTGTCCTCCTACCTCAGCCTCCCAAGTAGCTAGCACTACAGATGCACACCACCACCACACCTGGCCAATGTTTTTAATTTTTAGTAGAGACAAGGCCTTGCTATGTTGCCCAGGCTGGTCTCAAACTCCTGGGCTTAAGCAATCCTCCTGCCTTGACCTCACAAAGTGCTGACATTATAGGTGTGAGCCACTGTGCCTGGCTAGTGCCTGGCTTAATAAATATTTGTGGAGTAAATTTGAGGCAGTCCTTAGACACATATTAAAAGAAATTATAAGTATTCATTTAATGTGTGCTGAGAAAAAATTCCTAAGTACATCAAACCAGTGATTCGAGGATATTTTAAAATTTCCTTTAATGTAAGTTTATTTAAATTTAATAAAATAAGTCTATTTAAAGAGAAATGTTAAGTAAATAGTAGACAGGTGGAACATGAGCAGGGCCTGAGTCCTGAGTGGGGAAAGTGCCTGAGTGTGGTCTGGGAACGGCCATGGGAGGGGCTGGCCTTTGCAGCTGAGGGCCTGGGAGCCTGGTTTCCGAGGTTGCTGCCCAGGAACTGTCTTAGTCCATTTTGTGTTGCTATATAGGAATACCTGAGGCTGGGTAATTTATAAAGAGAAAAGGTTTATTTGGCTTGGGGTTCTTCAGGCTGTACAAGCATTACACCAGCATCTGCTTGGCTTCTGGGGAGGCCTCAGGAAGCTTTTACTCATGGTAGAAGGGGAAGGGGGAGCAGGCGTGTCACACTCGAGAGAGACAGCAAAAAAGAGATGCTAGGGTTGTCTTAAACAACCAGCTCTTGTGTGAACTAATAGAGCGAGAGCTCATTCATTATTGCAGGACAGCACCAAGTCATTCATGAGGGATCCACCCCCATGACCCAAACACCTCCCAACAGTCCCACCTCCAACATTGGAGGCCACACATCAACATGAGATTTGGAGGGGACACACATCCAAACCATATCAGGGACTCTAGAGGGTCAGGAGGAAGGGGTAGGACTCTGGGCCTGCTGGCATAAAATTTGAGCACTGGCTGCAAGGGATTGGAGTAGAAGGAATAGTGCTTATGTTTCTCTCTTGCAATCTGTGCATTCCATGTACCAAGAAAAGCGGCACCCAAGGCCAAAGGGACAGAGCTGCCGGGGTTGCCCTGGGCCGCAGTGGGTGATAATGAGAATCCAGTGGTGGGCAAGGACAAAGACTTCTTCTCTTGGGGCCAGCTTCTCCATAGGCAGCGAAAGGACTGAACCAAGCCATCAGAGGCCTCACTTCATCGTGAGGGCACCAGGAGCCACTGAGGGCTTTTTTCCTCCCAGGGGTGACAGGATAAGAGCACCGTTAAGACCACCAGAAGTATAAATTCTTTGGGGTATAATCCTAAATAGAAGAACTGCAGCTGTTTGGGTAACTGATTGTGGTCTTTAGCCAATAGCGATGATGTTCCTTAGCAAATGAGGCTTAAACTGAAAAAGGGGTCTAGGGTAGACTTGAAGGAGATTTGCTTGGTCACGCATGGGTGCCCAAGGAAAAGTCAGATATCAGAGACCTCAGAGATCTTTAAGGAGAAACTCCAAAACCCTCATTTCTGTGGTTGACAAAAGCACAGACAGCTCCCAGCGGCCTTCCTCGGTTTCTGATGCCTGTTTCCGATGACCTTTTGAGTTTGCCACTGGGGATTCTGAGCTCATTCCTGCCCGCTTCCACACCTGTCCCTCCTTCCTCCCCAGCTGCCTCCCTGTGGCATGGCAGAGACAAGACAGAACCTTGGGATTGTTGCTTTTGAAATGTTGAGGCCAAATGCTTATCTACAGGATGATCTCAATCATGTTTTGAAAAATGTATGAATGTTCAGGAAGAACATATAAAAATGTTAATAAAGAATGGTTCTCTCTGGATGGAGGAAAATAAATGATTTTCTTTCCTTAAAGAGCAGAGAGGGCCGGGCGCAGTGGCTCACACCTGTAATCCCAGCATTTTGGGAGGCCAAGGCGGGTGGATCATTTGAGGTCAGGAGTTCGAGACCAGCCTGGCCAACATGGTGAAACCTCAACTCTACTGAAAATACAAAAATTAGCCAGGCATGGTGGAGCACACTTGTAATCTCAGCTACTCAGAAGGCTGAGTGAGGCAGAATTGCTGGAACCCAGGAGGTGGAGGTTGCAGTGAGCTGAGATCATGCCACTGCACTCCAGCTTAGGCAACAGAGTGAGACTCTGTCTCAGGAAAAAAAAATATATATCAGAGAGGAGAAATGCCACTGAGACGAGACCCCCCTAAGCCATATATACCCGGAAGTAGCTGAGCTCAGATCTGAGCCCCTGCTCCCTTAAATCCCCCAAGAAAACAGCACTAGCACATGAAGTTAGCTCAGCCCAGGTCGATGATGTCAAGGTGAAAGAAAGCTCCATCTTGAGATTTAACAGAAAATCAAGCCAAGGCGGAAATGAGCACAAACAGGCTTTTTAGAAGAGGCAAGTGGGCCTGGAGCAGGGCCCAGGTTTTATTGATAGAGGGCTGGGTCCTGCCCCAGTTCTGCTGAAGCATGCAGGCAGGCCTGTCCAAGGCAAATACAGCAGCAGCCTGATCTGGCCAGCCCAGGAGCAAACCCCATGCCAGGCTGTTTGCCCACTGGGGGCGGTTCAGCTCCCACGCGGGGTTCTTGGCTCCTTCCTCTGCAATGTTTCAGTGGTGTTTCTGCTCTAGACAAGCCCTGATTTCACTTGCCAGAGGGTTCCAAGGTTGACTCCTCTCTCCAGCAGAGGAAAGGGGGTCACTCTGTTTCCAAAAACTCAGACATGAAAGCATCTCTTCACTGCTGACATTTGGAGGATGAGACAACGAATCCAGCCAACTCCAGGCCTTCCCTGGGCCTTTTGCCTGCCACACTTGGGAGCTGGCTAGCCCACTCTAGGGCAGGGTTTCTCAGTCTTCGCCCAACTGACATTTGAGGTCAGATAATTCTTTGTTGTGGGGGGCTGTTCTATGCAAAACAGGCCGGCTAGCAGCATTCCTGGCCTCTTCTAGAATCAGTAGCATCCTCTAAGTTGTGACAACCAAAAATGTCTCCAGACAAATGTCCTAGGGGGTGAGTAAAATTGCCGCCTTTTGAGACCTGCTGCTCTAAAGGAAGGAACAGAAAGAGACACAAAGAGGAGACCCAGGAAGTAATGGGGACAGCCAGGCTCCAGGGTGGCGTGCAGGGCTGAGGAGATCAGAAAGAAGAGACACTTGGAAGCTCCCAAAGAGAAAAGCAAATTGAGACCAGAAAAGGTTGTTTCAATAAGATTTTTAGGAAATGTTGCTATATGGTGTACTATGTAACCTCCTCCCTCTATCTTCTGAGGAAAACCTTCAGGAAACATCTGCATTGCCCATCAGCACTTTTGGGGGCCAGATGTGCCTCCTCTCCTTTCCCTGTGTCCCATCCTGGGTAGACAGTTCCTGCTAAGGGTAAGGCCCTTCCAAGAGGCTACATTCAGGCTACACCAGAAATAGTTACTATTCCAACGTCTGTGGAGCGATGTGCAGAGTTTTAAAATATACATTTTAGAACTAATCCAGCATCACCCTTATAAAAACATATATCATTCTTGCTTTCTAATAATTCTTTTTCCAGGGAGAGAGAAAGGCGTGAGGGAACAGCTGGGAGGCTGGTAACACCCATGGTGAATTAGGCATTTGAACACTGTTGATTGTGTTCCAGAAAAAGCATGTGATGGCTACTCTGGAGACCGGGGGGCTGCTCGTGAGTCTCCCATCCAGCACCTGGGTCCCCCAGTATAGTTTCTCAGAGCACCTTGAGATTTTCCGTCAGAGACACAGGATATATTTGTTTAAAGTCTCACTCCCTTACCCTACTGTAAGCACCGGATGTGTAGAAACCATGTCTGTAATTTTCATCATTAAATCCTCAGCATTCCTGGGCCTGGCACATGGTGAACACTCGAAACTTATTTGTTAAATGAATTAAAGGATGATATTCTTACTTCCCTGACTCGCAACCTTCAACCCACACATTAAGGCTTAAATCAAACATCACCTCCTCTGGGAAGCCTTCCCTGATTTCTCCCAGCAGAAACAATTGCACTATATATCCAAACACTTGGTTCATACTTTTATTGCAAAATGCATCACAGTGTATGCTATTTGTTGGTATTCTGCCTCCCCTGCCAGAATGCAAGCTGTCTGAGGACAAGAATTGTGACGTAGCATTTATTACCCCAACTCTCACCCATGCTTGGTACACAGTAGATACTCAACAAATGCTTGTTCAATGCAAGAAGCAATAAACACACTCCTCTGTCTCCATTCTAAATCCTAGAAATAAAAGTTCAGATACATCACAGTTCAAGTGTCTTTACAAAACCCAGAACCAAAAGCTGCTTTGGACATCAATTTTCTGGTTCTTTAACACAGGGAGAGAACATTTGCCCAGCCTCTCTGAAGGTTGGGCTGGCCTGGCTGGACAATGTGCTTGAGATGCCTCAGCCCCAGCATCCCCACTGTCCCAGGGCTATGAGGCCTTTAGGGACCGTCAGAAGGCTTCTCTGGAAGCCACCCCACTGCTCACTCATACCCACATCTCTGGCTCAGAGCCCTAAGCCACAATAGGCTCTGTACTTGGGGAGAACTACAGGGGACTTCTGAGTATCTTCAGAGTTCTCTGTGTCACTTCCCCTAGTCCCCTTGGAACAGGGTGTCTGTGAACTCCATCCAGTGCATGTGGAATCTGAGGCCTCATGCCACCTCCTGCTCACCAGAGCTCCTGGGAGAGAAAGTGGAGCCCGGGGCACCTGCAGAGGCTGTTCCCAGCTTGGTACGAGAGCTTTGGCACCTACCTGGCTGAAGGTCACGGTGAGGGTGCTTTCTGGAGAGGGTCTGTCCCGGGATAAACCCTCCTGCTGACTGCAGTCCAACTGGATCAGGCTGCGGCATTCTGGGTGACAGGTGAATTTACAGTCTGGAGGTAAAGAACAAAAGGGAGATTAGAGGACAGGCAGGATTCCTCCCCACTTTCACCCAGAGAAATAACCTTGGAGATTGCATTAGTTCCCAGTGGGAAGAGCAGTGCAGGAGAGAAGTGGTGGGGCGGGAGACAGCGTGAGAATGCCACCCTGCTCTCGGATCCCCCAGGAAGGATGCAAGTTAAGTGCTCTACGCGTTTGCAAACTGCTTTCACCTGCATTACTTTGTGTGACTCTGCAATCATTATTATTTCCATTTTACAGATAGAAAATCAGTGCCTAGAGACTGAGTGACTTTCTCAAGGTCAGAACTTCTGCCTCCCAGACTGGTGCTCTTTCTACCACTTTACATTAATCACCAGCACCCATAAATCCCTGGGGAAGGACTTGACTTTTATGGGCCTTATGTTGCCAATCTGTAAAATACAGGTTGTGCATCCCCAAGCTGAAAATCAGATCTCCAAGATGCTCCAAAATCTGAAACTCTTTGAGCATCGACATGACACTCTAAGGAAGTGCTCACTGGAGCAATTCGGATTTTTGATTTTCAAATTTGGGATGCTTGACTGGTATCATACATATTCCCAAATCTGAAAAAAGTCCAAAATCAGAAACACTTCCGGTCTCAAGCATTTCAGATAAAGGATACTCAGCCTGTATGGGTAATAGCTCCCCTGCCTGCTTCTAGTTATAAAGGAGGACATATCTTGAAGAATTAAAAGTGCTTCCAGAGACAAAGGCATTATCATCAGCAGGAAGTGCTGTTACCTCTCTCTGACCCGGCCTAGGCTAGAATGTGGGGATGCTACTCTGAATGCAGCTGAAATAGCCCACAGACCACATCCCAGATCCGGGGATTCAGCGGGGGAAGCACATTCCATCGACAATGTTCACTTCCATGGAAGCAGAGACTTAGTGACCAGAGTTGAAAAGAGCTTTGGGGACTACCTCAGAGATGGGGAAACTGAGGCCAGAGAGAAAAAGTGAGGTGCCCAATGACACACAGCTCATTGGTGGCAGCACCAAGGCTGCTAGTATTTTCCAGCTTTCTCAAGGGCTCTCTTTGGAGCCTCCTGGCAGAAGGGAGGTGAAGTCAAAGGCAGCAGGAGACTCAGGGAGGCGAGGGAAGGGCAGGGGAGCGGGGGTGGGGGGTAGTGAAGACAAGGTGGCAGCAGAAGAAAGTAACACAAGTCCATCCGCAGGGAAAATGCTCGGATCTGAGGTGTGGTCCTCACAGATAGCTGCCAGGTCAGCTGGAGTCACCTATTCTGGAGGTGCCTCAGCTCGGCCAGAAGGCCCAGCCTTCTAGGCGCTGGAATCTCATAAATTTTCCTTCTGGACTGTGAAGGCAAGTCATGAGGATGGGTTAGGGTGGGCGGGTTTTGTGGCAGGAGTCGTGACAGCCTGGACTTGATTGCATACCTGGGGATTAGGGGGCCACTTTTTGTTGATAAGGGCTCAGGCACCTCGAAATGCTTTTCCTTCCTTCTAACAAGCTCCAAAAATTCAGTACATTTGGTGTCGATTTTTAAAAGCCACCACAGCACACTCTATCTTGGCAGAGGGGTGATGGCTCCTTTTCTCCCCACTTTTGGGGAGCTTTGGAATGACACCCCCCTCTCCCCAGCTGCCCCTTCCCTTACTCCCCCAAAGATAAGCACCTGGACCATGTTTCTTGCACGGGTTTTGCCACTAATGTCCATAGGGGAGCACCCTGACAAATGTGGGGACACACAGAGATCCCAGAACCGCACGACCTTCCTACCCATGGCCTGACCACCTTTCTGTAACAGTGTCTGGAACCTTCACTGCTCATCTCCTTTGTGCTCGAAAGTGAAGCCCACCAATATCCTCTCCTTCAGATCCCACGCTTCTCTACGCCTCCCTCCTCCTCTCACTTGGAGACAGAAATGAATGAAGTCAATTCCCTGGGGCATGCACCCATCTACCTGCAGGCACCCACATGCATTTCTGGTCCTCCGTGGGAGACCTCTTGCTCAGCACAAAAACAGCCTCCCCTTTAGTAAGGTGAAGGGTACAAAGGGAAGTGCAGGCCAAACTTCTGCCCGCAGTGCCCAGAAATACCAGGGTTTTGATAAGGGAGCACTGAGGCCAGAACCCACAATGGGCAGCATTGTTCCTGGCGCTGGCCCTGGGACACACCTGTATGGCTCTGGTAGAGCTCTGAGCGATGAAGAATGCTCTGAGGATGCCAAGAAATGGCAGCAAGGAAAAGGAGGAAGGACTGAAAGCTCGCCCAGCTCCACGGTGATGACAGCTGCCATAACTCACAAATGGGAAGGCACCTGGGAGAGGAGGAATTTCTCTCTCCTCCTCTTTTAGCTCCTTGTCCTGTTGGCACAGGCAGTCTATGTCCACCTGTGCATCTGAATCTCTCAATTTCCATCTCTCTCTCTCTCTCTCACACACACACACACACACACACACACACCACACACACACAGACACACACACACACACACCCTGAAAACATCACCATGCTGAGCTGGACAACACTAAGTAGCAGAAGACTCTGAGAAGTGTTCTGGGATTTTATAAGAAGCATGTTTGAGCACCAAAGACTTTGTTCCATCGGACCATGTAATCACAGGCTGCAGCAAAACCTCTGAAGCACATCTTCATACTTCCTCGTCCTGGAAATGCCAAGCCCAGGGCTTTTAGGCCAGCAGAGATGAAGTCAGAGCCCCCATGCCTTTCTCCAAACCCAAAAGCAACAGCCTGCAGGCCTGACATTTTCAGGGATTGGGGAGACCCATGAGATTCCAAAGACAGAGCCACATTCCACTAGACCCAGTGGTTAATTCTCCACAGACCACAGTTCCCTTAAGGCAGCTCGTCACCAGCTGCTGCCAAACCAAACCAACCCCTGCCCTTGGTATTCCACTGTCCTCCACAGCCTTCAGCTGGTGCTCAATTTATGTTTTGTTTTTTGTTTTTTCTTTTTGAGGCAAGGTTTCACTCTGCCACCCAGGCTGCAGTGCAGTGGCACTATCGTGGCTCTCTGCAAACTCCACCTCCCGGGCTCACCTCAGTCTCCTGAGTAGCTGGTACTGCAGGCGCCCACCACTGCACCTGGCTAATTAAAAAAGGGTTTCACCATTTTTCCCAGGCTGGTCTCGAACTCCTGGGCTCAAGCGATTTGCCCACCTCTGCCTCCCAAAGTGCTGGGATTACAGGTGTGAGCCACCGCACCCGGCCAGGTGCTCAGTTTGGATGAGGAAGGAGGGAGGGAAAAGTGAAACTCTGGGTGGAGCATGGCTTCTAGGAAGGAAGGGTTCAGCCCTCCCTGGGCAGCTAGTGCCATCGCCTCTGGCAGCAGCATCAATGTCTGGAGCATGGGGGCTTCCTCGTGCTCTGTGCTAGCCCGAGGGTGAGGATGAATTAGAAAAGAAACCTGGGAAACCCAGGCTCACTGGGCAGATGTGATGCACATGTGAAAAGATAACTAACAACAGAGACAGCCCAAAGCAGGGGCCTGGCTGTGGCACAGACCTAGGAAGCTTGCTCAACTAGAGACAGTTGCCAGCCAGAACAGGCAGGGAGGGCTTCAGGGTGCAGGCAGCTCTGGGGAGCTTCCAGAGGAGATGAGACTCCAGGTAAATCCTGTGACCTTATCACAGGGGCCAAGAGGAGGCAGGGGATTCTGTCATCACTAAAGAGGACAAGGATCTTGCAAACAAGAGGCAGCAACAGATTAAGGAGAAACTAGCTGTAGTTTCTCCGGGAGAACAGGCATTTCTTGATATTGACATTGCCATCTGTAAAATCAAATGATCCTTTCCCCTTTGTAGCCTTTCCTTCCAATGACAGACCCTATCCCTATTGCTAGGGGATGCTTTGAGGGAAGTAAATGTGCTTCCAGGATTTGGAAGAGGGGCCTATGAAAGTATATAGAAGGAGGCAACTGTAAAGGGAAATGAAGGAGACAAACCACAATAGGAGCCCCTCTCCCCAGAAGGGAGCCACAACCAGGAGCTGGGATGGAGGGCCAAGGACCTCAGCACCCAGGACCACTGGAACCAAGTACCATGAACCAGGTGACTTAAACAGAAAATTACTGTCTCGCAGTTCTGGAGGCTAGCTTGAAATCAAGTGTTGGCTGGGCCAGGCCCGCTCTGAAATATGCAGGAGAGTCCTTTGTTGCCTCTTTCTGGCTTCTGATGATTTGCTGGATTCCTTGGTGTGCAGCTGCATGACTCCAGCCTCTGTGTCCATCGTCACGTGGCGTTCTCCCTGTGCTTCTGTCTTCTTATAAGAATACCAGTCATCTTGAATCAGGAGGCCATCCTACTCCAGTGCGACCTCATCTTAATGACACCTGCAACTACCATATTTCCGAATAAGGTTGCATTCTGAACTACTGGGGGTTAGAACTTTTTTTTTTCTTTTTTTAAGACAGGGTCTCACTCTCTCACCCAGGTTGGAGTACAGTGGCATGACCATAGCTCACTATAACCTCGAACTCCTAGGTTCAAGCCATCATCCTACCTCAGTGTCCTGAGTAGCTAGGACTACAGGTGTGTGCCACCATGCCCAGTTGATTTTTTTGTTGCTGTTGAAACAGGGTCTCTCTATGTTGCCCAGGCTGGTATCAAACTCCCCGCCTCAAGTGATCCTCCCACTTCAGTCTCCCAAAGTGCTGGGATTACAGGCATGATTCACCATGCTCAGCCTGGGCGTTAGGACTTAAGTATATCATTTTTGGGGAAAGCCCAGTTCAATCCACAACACGGACCCTCCCTGGGCCATATTAGGAGCACAGAGCCCTTAGGCCCAAACAGATGGCGGTTTCTAGTGGAAACCTCCTCCAGAGATCACAGTGGGCCGGCAGGACAGGACAGGGAGGTTAGGGAGTGGTAAACTGAAGCCAAGACGGCCTGCCTACTTCTACCAGGCCTGCTTCTGGGCTTCACAGTCCCTGAAGGTTACCGCCAAGTCACCACTTCAAACATGGCCCACAGGCCATGGTGGCCTATGCTTGGAGATGGCATTACTTCTTTCACTGTAGCCCTGAAGAAGTAAAGCCAGAAGGTGGAACTACACAGGACACAGGAGTTCCATGGCTAGGAGGCTGTTTTTCCAAAATTTAGAAGCTACAAACCTCCCCTTAATCCCCAGGGCTGCCAATGTTAGTTTTTGCCCCAACCCAGTTGCCAAATGCACACACACACAGAGGCACACACATGCACCCTCTGCCGTGTGGCTGCATAGCCTGAGTGGCTATTTTCTGAACTAGAAAATGGGTATGTTGATAAGAACTTATTCTGTTGATAAGAAACCCTTAAGGCCCTTTCACCCGAGTTGCATGCAAGATACAGAGACAACATAGAACTCTCCATTTAACTCTCCCCTCCTCCAGCCCAGGCCAAGGTGTGGGTAAGGGCCAGGCGGGCACCAAGGCGACTGAGCCTGGATGACACCAGAGCTACCAGCCTCCCCTATGGTCAATCCCAGGTCAGTGAACAGCAGCTTCTCACTCTGCATGGACAAAGCAACTTCCGATGCCTGAGGGAAAGCAGGACAACTTCTGAATCCGGGAACGTATGCGCATTCTCTGAACATCCCTATGCCTTTTTGAAGAAAGCCAATCTTAAGCAAACCTTAACACCCCCTTCCCTCTCTCCCTGAGGACCAGCAGCCTGGCCTATGCTGTGATGTCATGGAAAGAGAATGGACTTTGAAGAAAGTCCTCCAGGCCTCCAGGCCCCGCTCAATTAGCTCTGTGACCCTGGGTAAGTTATGAACTTCTCTGAGCATTAATTTTCTCTACCCTAAAACAGGAATCATAGTAGCCAGTTCCTAGGGCTGCCATGAGGATTAAATGGGGTTCCTGATGTCAAGAACTACATAGAAGCCCTGGAAGGTGGAGGTTCCAAGTTAAGAGTTAATGATCCATCCCCTACCCTCTCCTTCCACTGCTCTGCTATGTGGATTCCTGAGTCTCACCAACCTTATTCCTATAGGTATTTCCAAAACAAGCACACAAATCACTTTTAGTTTTAAGATAATTTTGTTCTTAGGCACTACAGGGAAATCTGAAAAAATAATATGCATTGGAAAATTACAATTTACCAAAGATTTTTTTTTTCTTTTTTGAGACAGAGTCTCACCCTGTTGCCCAGGCTAGAGTGCAGTGGCGTGAACTTGGCTCACTGCAAGCTCCGCCTCCCGGGTTCACGCCATTCTCCTGCCTCAGCCTCCCAAGCAGCTGGCATTACAGGCACCCGCCACCATGCCTGGCTAATTTTTGTATTTATTTATTTATTTTTTTTTAGTAGAGACAGGGTTTCACTATGTTAGCCAGGATGCTCTCGATCTCCTGACCTCGTGATCCGCCTGCCTTGGCCTCCCAAAGTTCTGGGATTACCGTGCCTGGCTCAATTTACCAAAGTTTTAAAAGGGCAGGTGTAAAGCTTGTCCTGATCCTCTTGAATAAGTCAGTGGGGACTGTCACCATCTCATGGTACCTGTCTTCAATCCCTTTTCAAGGGGATTCTCCTTTAAGAATCCCCCATTTTTCCACTGGGTGTTGCCCCACTGGAGCCTCTGGGCTGGACCAGCTATGGCAGCTCCAAGAACACCCAGAGAGGGTCTCCAGCGCCCTCTGCGCACAGACCATCCCAGGGCAGCTCCACCACCTCCAGCCCCCTGCACCCTCACCCTGCAGCCTCTACCCTGCCAGCTCCCCCAGCTAGGATACCGCCTCTCAACCTGGCCCCAAGATGTCCCTTCAGACTCAGGTTCTCATACAATAGACACAGTTGTTCCCTCTGCAACCTCACCGCCTGCTCCGGATCTCCTCGGCCACAGTTCCTGAATGCGACCCTTTCTGCAGCCCTTTGCTCTGGGCCCTGCTCCGAGTTTGGGAAGCCCATTCACTAGCAAGCATTCAGAAAGGGACTACTACAAATTGGTTGAGTGACTAAAGGAAGGAATGCTTCTCTGCTGCCCTTTGTTGAAGTGGAGAGACCAGAGTGCGAGTGCTGATCCGACCCCAGGCCGGTGTCCTAACCTCTAGTGGCCTTGGTTTCCTCATCTGTTAAATGGAGATGATAGCAGTACGGTTGTTGAGAATCAAATGAGAATGTTATGTAAATAACAACACAACACTTGCTACATACTAGGTGTTCAATAATATTAGTTCTCCTTTTTACCTCGCTAACATCCAAGTCTGTCTGGCCAGTGGCCACAGCATCAGACATCCTCATCTCAAAAGCCCGTCTGTGCACACCCCATCAGTGCCCACTGACCTTCCTCCAGACCTTCACCTGGAGGTGCATCACAGTCATAAGGAAAAGGTCTTGATCATCCTCAGACCTTCCATGGCTCCCCTATGAGCAAGGGAGGCCCCAGGGCTCAGCTCCCTGCAGCGGGGAGGGGCTGGGTGTACTTGCTTAGAGTCTGTAAGGGGTAACCCTGCCCCACTTGGCAGAGAAGCCTCTGCCGGCCCCCTGGAACATCCCTCCTCCCTGCTTTTCTACTCACCCTTCCTCCAACATTTGAACTTCTAAAATCTCACTCTAGTTTCAGAAAAGAAAATTGTTAACCAAAGTTAATAAGTTCCAGTATTAAAGGGGATGTGGGGGAATGAGAAGGTACTACCTTATTGGTGGTATCAATTTCCTGCAGGAATTTATTCTGGGTATGTATTTACTCATATCTAAATATATTGTCACTAAAATGTTCATCACATAGTTATTTATGACAACAAAATGCTAGCAATACCCCCACATCCATCTACAAAAGACTAGTTATAATTATATTTTGAAATGGAATACTATGTAGCCATTATATAAGATGATGCATATTGATATTGGTCAACATGAAAATATGTCCACAACATACATCTAAAAAAGGAAAAAGATTGTGTTTTATGATTTCAATGATATAAAATCTATACATACTTATACATTATGCAGAGAGCTGTCTGGAAGGCAGGTCACATGTTTGCTTTGAGTGATGGGATTTCAAGTGCTTTTCCTACCTCTATAGTTACTAAATTGTTTAAATTTTTATAATGGAAATATATTCTTTACTAATGGAAAAATGCCACAAAAAGGGAACAAAGAAAAATCACGTACCCACACTGTGATGACATCAGGTACCATTACTCAGTACCCACCATACACCAGGTATTCTACATGCATTATTTCATATAATCCATACTATGACTGGGCAATATGTGTTTCTACCCCAATTTTTAATTTTTATTTTATTGTATTTATTTTTTTTGAGGCAGGGTCTCACTGTGCCACCCAGGCTGAAGTGCAGTGACGTGAACATGGCTCGCTTCAGCCTTGACCTCCCAGGCTCAAGCAATCCTCCCACTGAGTAGCTGGGATTACAGGCACACACCACCACACCTGGTTAATTTTTTTTTTGAAGGAAAAATTGTAGTATTTTAATTATTTTTATGTACAGAAAACTCAACAGTGTGCATTTAACCCGGTTTAGTGGCAAGTTCTTTAGCCTTTGCCTTTTTGAATTTGGCGATGTGAGCCACAGACTTGGGACCCAGGACATTGCCGCCCCAGTGACAGTGGATGTCATTGTATCTGTCATTGTAATCGGTCCTGATAGCTTCCACCAGCTTAGCCAAAGCGCCCTTGTCTTCTGAGTTAACCTGTGTGAAGGCGACAGTGGTGCAGGTCTTCCTGTGGACTAGACGTCCCAGTCTTGCCTTCTCCTTGATAATGCAGTAAGGGACCCCCATTTTATGACACAGGGCAGGCAAGAAGACGACCAGCTCAATGGGATCCACGTCATGTGCAATCACCACCAGCTGAGCTTTCTTATTCTCCACCAAAGTGGTGATGGTGTTAACTCCTGCTCGAAGGACAGGTGGTCTCTTAGTGGGGACGTCCCCTTTGCCGGCAGCTCTCTTCTCAGCCTGGGCCAACGGCCTCTGCTTCTTCTCTTGCTTTGTTTCTGGTCTGTACTTGTGGGCCAGCTTAAGCAGCTGAGTAGCTGTTTGGCGGTCCAGGGCCTGGGTGAACTGGTTAATCGCAGGAGGCACTTTCAGCCACTTGTAGAGGATGGCTCCCTGCCTTTGCAACCTGATATAGCAGGGCCATTTCACAAAGCAGGTGAGGTCTCTTTTGGGCTGGATGTCCTGTCCAATGCCAAAATTCTTAGGCCTTTTCTCAAACAGGGGATTCACCACTTCCTTGGCCTCCTGCTTCTTCACGACAGGAGCCACCTTCTTCCCCTTGGCCTTCTTTCCTTTCAGCATCTTGGGCAATGCGAGGAGAGAGCTAATTTTTTAATTTTTTGTAGAGACGAGGTTTCATCATGTTGCCCAGGCTGGTCTCAAACTCCTGGCCTCAAGTGATCTCCCTGCCTCAGTCTCCCAAAGTGCTAGGATTACAGGTGTGAGACACTGTGCCTGGCTACCACTAATTTTTTTAAAATAGACTTTTTTGGAACAATGTCGGTTCACAGTAAAATTGAGCAGGAAATACAGAAAGTTCCTTTATACCCCCTGCCCCTACATATGCTGCACAGCTTCCCCTATTATCAGCATCCCCCACCAGAGTGGTACATTTGTCACAACTGATGAACCTACACTGATTCATCATGATCTCCAGAGTCCATAGTTTACATTAGGGTTCACTCTTGGTGCTGTACGTTCTATGGCTGTGGACACATGTATAATGACATACACCCACCATTATAGCATCAGGCAGGGTAGTTTCGCTGCCCTAAAAACCCGCTGTGCTCTGCCTATTTATCCCTTCTTCCTCTCTAACCCTGGCAACCCCTGATCTTTTAACTGTTTCCATAGATTTATCTTTTCCAGAATATCATATAGTTGGAATCATAAGATACGTAGCCAATTTTCAGACTGGCTCTTTCACTTAGTACTATGCATTCACTTAGTATTATCTCCCTGTCTTTTTTTTTAATTAAAAAAATTGTGGGTACATAGTAGCTATATATATATTTATGAGGCTCCTTGTCTTTTCATGGCTTGACAACTCATTTCTTCTTATTGGTGAATAATATTCCGTTATCTGGATGACCATAGTTTATTCATCTCTTCACTTACTGAAGGACATCTTGGTTGCTTCCAAATTTTGGCAACTCTGAATAAAGTTGCTATAAACAACTTTATTCAGGTTATTTTGTGGACATAAGTTTTTAACTCATTGGATCTACTCCTATTTTAGAGATAGGGAAATTGAGACTTGAAGAGATAAATGACCTTTGGCAGCCTTGTAGCTGGCGAGCAGCAGGGTGGAGAGTGAAGATGCATCATGCCTGGCTGCTCCTCAACAGCCCATTCCTCAGAACCGTCCCCTCCACTTGTTCCTGGTCCCTACTCTGCACTGCTTGAGGCCAGGGATGGGCTTCACTGGGGATGGGAGTCAGGGTGGCCCAAGGCCAGAAAGAGCCTGGGTTGAAGGCATTTGGGCAAGGAGTGCTTTTTCCTCTGTCCTAGCAGGGAGCAGGGAGAGTACCCCACCTGAGGCTTCGGTCCTGTCTTTGGAGGGCCTGGGATGTGCCACTTCACAGCTCTCCTCCAAGCTCAACCAAGCCACTCAGCCTTGGAGGCTGCCAGCATCCTGGGAGTTTCTGAAGCCACCCATACTGTCTGCCTGCTCTGAATTGGTCCTCCATCCATGACCCCTTTGTCTCTGG
Organism: Homo sapiens; assembly: GCF_000001405.40. Classification (NCBI taxonomy): domain Eukaryota; kingdom Metazoa; phylum Chordata; class Mammalia; order Primates; family Hominidae; genus Homo; species Homo sapiens. Next base: position 206,527,505 of record NC_000001.11, on the reverse strand, counting down.
AACACCATATCTGCGAGACTTGGAACCACCCAGGCAGCAGCCAAAGGTTCCTGTCCTGAGCTCTCAGGACAATTTCACCAGAAAGGCCAGCACTTCAGCCAAGTTCAGGCTCCACAAGACAGCAGGCTCTCAGCCTTCCCCACTCAAAGAGGCCCAGCCTCTGCAAACCCCCTCCCTATGACACCAAAATGGACGCCAAGTTCCCAGAACCAACTACCTCAGAGATTGGCACCAGAGCGCACCCACTTACCAGCCATACATCAGAAATCCTTACCCAGATGGTGTGATCCCTTGAAACACACTGCTTAACATGTGTGATAGAGGTCTTAGAGAATGGGTGGAAAAGATGGAACACTCAATCGGGTGCTGGGGCGTGCAATGAATCTGGACTCTGGAGTCACATGAATCAGGGTTTGAGCCTGAGCCCTCCCTCTAACTGGGTATGAGAAACCTGGACAATTAACCTCAGTTAACTGTGGAATTTAGTTAGCCTCAATTTCCTCAACTGCAAATGGCGGTGGTAGTATCTTTCTTGCCAGCAAATTTGTTGCCAAAATTAGAGAGTATGTATGCAAAGCATCCAACGGCACCTGGCATATGGTAGGTGCTCAATAAATGGCAGCTGTCATTTTCAACGCTATGAGATGCCTGAGTCCACCCAGCTTCCTGTGGACTCAGCATGTGATGCCAGCCAAAAACCCTCTCAATTTTCAGGTCCTCTTCTAACGTATTAGGGTAAGAAGAACTGTGCAACTTTCCTGCTCATCTGAGTTCCTCCCACCTGCTCCCACTTCCCTCCAACTTCTGCCTTTAATGGGTGCAGAGGAGTAAGGCAGGGGGGCTGGAAGGATAGGTCATGTTGGTGAATGGGAAGGCGGAGAGACTGTGATAGTCAAGCCTGGAGGTCTGCAGCCATTGCCAAAATCAACATGATCTATAAGTTTTTCAAACTCCTGGCTAAACTCCTAGTGAGGCTGGCAGCAAGGGAATGGAAACTCCCCACTCCAAGGGTCAGGCAGCCAGGTCAGGACATCTGCATCCTTATGTTTCCAGGAAGGAGGCAAAGCTCAGCCCTCTTGAGACCACTTACTGTAGTTCCTTGATTTAGAGGACAGACCACCCTGGGGGCATTCAGCATCCTGCAGCCCAGCCCGGAGGGCCTGGAGGCACACAACTGCTCCCTCCCTCCACACAACCCCAGCCCCAACTCCAACACACACACACACACACACACACTGCCAGAAAGCAAGCCAGGAAGCAAACAGGAAAGGTCAATGTAATGGTAAGACGAGTGTCCTGCAACTCTAAGGTCAGAGATGGCCAGCCCCTCATGTGGACAGGCAAGATGGGCAGCTGACACACAGGGGCTGTCGTCTCTGTGAGAACAGCCAAGAGGGGATGCACCTGAGCAAGCTCCAGTTTGGTTCAGATGCTGAGTTCCCATGTAAAAGAGTGGGTTGGGGTGGAGGGCTTTATGGAAGCAGGTTCCTCCAAGGCCGGTGAGAAGGGAAAGTGCTGGACAGGTGGGGTGAAGCTGGGAGCCTCTGCTGAACTGAGGCACAGGAAAGAGAGCCAAAGACCACCCCAAGATCCTGGTCTTTACTCTCTTCCAAAATGACTGTATCAGTTTTCTGTGTGGCAGGGCTGGATGGGATTGACATACACTTTTAGCGACCATTTTGTACTAAAGGGAAAGGCATAAGATCTGCTCAGTTGTTGCTCAGACACCAAAGTAGATATTAAAATTCTCTCTGGGGCCCTCAAGGTAGCTCACGCCTGTAATCCCAGCACTGTGGGAGGCTGAGGCAGGAGGATTGCTTGAGGCCAGAAATTTGGGACCAGCCTGGGCAACATAACAAAACAATTAAAACAATTTTGTTTTGTTTTGTTTTGTTTTTGTAAAACAGCTCTCCAAAACAATTAAAACCTTAGTGGGGTGGGGGATGGTGTGTGCCTGTAGGCCCAGCTACTCAGGTGGGTGAGGCGAGAGGATGGCTCAAGCCCAGGAGTTCAAGCTTGTAATGAGCTATGATCGGTCCATTGTACTCCAGCCTGGGGGACAGAGTAAGACCCTATCTCTAAAAAATAAGAAAAATTCTTTCTGGAACCTGGGTCCCTGGATCTAATGTATCAGTGATTTATTCTCCAAGCCACATTCCCAGGAAGGCTGGATGTGTCCCCTGTGCCCTCCTCCCAAACACACCCAACCTGCCTGGCAGAAGTTGGGCGCCCTGGTTGGCCTGCAGGGGCACCATCCTGTCTCACGTGGGTGGGTGTGGGTGGGTGTGCCTCTCGGGCAGGCACATTAATCATCCATCTCCAACACAACCACACATCCCTAGGCTGAAAACATCAACAAAAGGAAGGTACTGTGGCCAGGCCAGGCTGGGTGTGTTGAAGTAGGGGTGTCTTGGGAGGAGTGGGCAGAGGAAGAGAGGGCAGGATAGTTCACAACAAGTTCAGACAAATGATGCAGGAAGTAAGAGGAGTGCCTGCCAGGCACCCAGGACAAAGGAGACAGGCCTGACCCCTGGCACCTTCTCCACATGGCCTGTTTCCACAACTTTGTTCTTTGGGGGTGCTGTAGCCCGAAGCATGTCCCCACTCTGCCCTGTGCATGTGTGTGTGTGTGAGTGTGTGTGTGTATGTGTGCATGTGTATTATAAACAAATGTAATGGTGTTGAGCCATTTTTAGCAATCCGTGCTTCAACTATAGACTATATTAACTGACTCCCTGCTAGGACAAGTGAAAGCAATCCTTCCCATCTCTTCTGCCCCATCCCCTATTTTTTATATATAGATAATATATAATATATTAAATATATATTATATATAATATATATTATACATAATATATAATATATATTTTATATATTATACATAATATATATTTTATATATTATACATAATATATAATATATATTTTATATATTATACATAATATATTTTATATGTATTTTATATATAAACATATATGCACTCCAGCCTGGATGACAGAGCAAGACTCTGTCTCAAAAAAAAAAACCATATATATATTTATATATATAATATATAGAAAATATATTATATATGGTATCTATAATATATAAAATGTATTACATATGGTATCTATAATATATATAAAATGTATTACATATGGTATCTATAATATATATAAAATGTATTACATATGGTATCTATAATATATGTAAAATGTATTACATATGGTATCTATAATATATATAAAATGTATTACATATGGTATCTATAATATATATAAAATGTATTACATATGGTATCTATATTATATATAAAGTATATTACATATGGTATCTATATTATATATAAAGTATATTACATATGGTATCTATATTATATATAAAGTATATTACATATGGTATCTATAATATATAAAATATATTATATATGGTATACATATTATATATAAAATATATTATATATGTTATACCTATTATATATAAAATATATTATATATGGTATACCTATTATATATAAAATATACTATATATGATATACATATTATATATAAAATATATTATATATGGTATATATATTATATATAAAATATATTATATATGGTATATATATTATATATAAAATATATATGTTACATGAAAAATATATATAAAATATATAATATATAAAATATATTGTATAGTATATATAAAATATATTATATATAATATATAAAATATATTGTACATTATATATAAAATATATTATATATAATATATAAAATATATTATGTATATTATATAAAATATATTATATATAATATATAAATATATTGTATAATATATAAATATATTATATATAATATATTTATATATAATATATTTTATATATTTTATATAAATATATTATATATAATATATTTTATATATTTTATATATATATAAAATATATATGGTTTTAAGACAGAGTCTTGCTCTGTCACCCAGGCTAGAGTGTATATATATTTATATATATAATATATAAAATATATAATATATAATATATAAAATATATAATATATAATATTATATATTGTATATAAAATATATTTAATATATTATATATTATATATAAAATATATTATATAATATATAATATATAATATTTATATTTATATTAAATTTATATAATATAATATTTATATTATATAATATATAAAATATATAATATATAAATATATTTTATATGTATATATGGGGTTTTTTTTGAGACAAAGTCTTGGTCTGTCACCCAGGCTGGAGCACAGTGGCACAATCTCTGCTCACCACAACCTCCACCTCCCGGTTTCAAGCAATTCTCCTGCCTCAGCCTCCCAAGTAGCTGGGACTACAGGTGCCCGCCACCATGCCTGGCTAATTTTTGTATTTTTAGTAGGGTAGGGTTTCACCATGTTGGCCAGGCTAGTCTTGAACTCCTGACCTCAGGTGGTCTGCCCACCTCAGTCTCCCAAAGTGCTGGGATTACAGGTGTGAGCCACCACGCCTGGAATATATTTTTTTATACATGCAATGTTTATAACATTTCTATTGTTTTAACCAGAGCCCACTGTTGTCTAAAATTAGCTTTACTTTTAAATTAGCTTTACTTTTAAATGAATCTAGTCATCTTACAATAGCTAAACCATTTTAAATTTTTTAAATTTTAATTCATTTTTGGCTTGACTACATGTTAGGGGGTTCTTTGTAATTTTTATATACATTATGTTTCCTGATGATGCTGTATGCCCCTTTAAGAGATGCACCTCTATTTGACTGAGCTTCTTATACCATGGCACTGTGGCCTCATGCAGTACGGCTTGTTGATGACAGTGATGGCCAGGAGAAAATGTGGAGGGAGCAGAAAGAGGTGGGAAAGTCTGCAGGCCCTCAGTGCACATCACAGAGCAGTCCTGAGAATCCCCCCTTGGCCAAGAATGGTAAGAGGCAATCTATTTTGGGAGAAAGTGTAAAAGTAAATGGTTTGGGGGAGGGTGCTGGGGCGAGCAAGCCAAATGGACCTCATTCCTCAGTGAATGTGAGAGATTTGTCACCTGGACCCTCCGACACCACATCAGAAAACGCTCACGCTGCATTTAGGGTATGGCCATGCAGAGAGAAGTGCAAAGACACAGCACAGTTTTTGAACAGGGCAATTAAATTATGTGTGACCATCAGGACACATGTACTCAGAGATACACAGGGAGAGAACTAAACCTTTTTCTACGGTTCCGTCTCCCCTCTTTCCACATCTACCCAGCTCCTAACCAGTTGTTCATTTGTGCATGTGTGGCCTGCATTCACTCACCATGTGCTGACTGAGGGCCTCCCATAGCTCACTGTTACAAAGTACAGGCAGTCACAACCAAGACTGTGTGTGACAGGAAGAAGTGTATGAAAGGATTCGAGAGAGAGAGAGAAAGCTCAGTAAAGATATATACTGGTTTGATCATCACCACGGGAAAAAAGAAATCCTATTGCCAGGCACCTTAAGAAAAAAAAAATAATTTAAAACACTGTAGGCAGTTGGGTTTAAGGGAACTCAACAAATAGCAACAAGCCCATGATATCCAAAGCCAGTGTGGAGCTGCCAGATACCCTCTCGGCCCCAGGCCTGCTCAGGAGGGGCCCCTCGTCTAGGCATGTGTCACTTTGCTCTGGGTGTAAGAGAGACAAAGCAGCAGAGGTCTCCCAGCCCTGGGCTCTGGGCCCTCTCACCCATCCCTGGGCCCCTGAGAAGACAGACGGAGGACCCTGGGTAGCTGACAAAGGATTTGGGCTCTAGAAGTGAGGGGCACATACGGAAAGAGAAGGGGAGGGTTGTTTTTGTTTGCTTGTGTTTCTGTTTTTAAGGCAGACAATCATCTCTGAGAAGGGGCAAAGGGCAGCCTAGCCTCTTGTTAGCCTAGAGTATATTTGTGGTAGTATGCCACAGACCCCAAAGATAAGGACAGCCAAATAGGATTGCAAGGAGACCTGGCTGGGCATATGCAAACTGCAAGATGGCAGATGAAGTTCATGCAGAAATACAGATATGAATGCACCGCAGGTATGCCCAGTTCTAGTGCCAGGAGGTCACAGGAGGCCAGGAGCAGGCAGGTTCAGTCTATCATGGGACAACCAGGCTACTACATCCAACTGGTTTTTCCACACCTGCTTTGATGTCACTTGCAGCTATTCAAAGTGCCAATCATCAACCGGGCGAAAGCAGGCTTTTTTGCAGTGGGAAGGAAAGTAAATAGATTATGTCAGAGGACCTCTCTGCTGGAGACACACAAAGGTTTCTTTACAGCTGCATCGCTGCAGCCAGGACCACCAGAGACTTCTGGAGAGACCTAGGCCTATTTCCCACAGACCCCCCTAGCAGCCTTTTAAAATGACATATGACTTGCTCCTTGGCGACATGCTTGCTTAGCTCCTAAAGATACCCGGTGGGCTAATCTAGCTCTGCCTGTTAATTATGTGATGTGGTAAACTCAATGATAGGAATTTTTCCAGGGAATGTGTTTGTGAGTTTATGTCTCTCCTCTACTTTTACCTGGGCAACCTTCAAGTCCTATGTCTCCCACTGAGATGCAGGCAGTCCACCCTGGTCCAGGTACAATGGAGGGGCAGACAGCCGTGCTGCAGGCTTGTCCCAATGACCCACGGGGAGCAGTTATGAAAAGTCTTCCTGGGAGCACTCAGCAACAGCAGCTCCCAGTGCAGGGCTTTCTATGCACCAAACATGGTTTCAACTGTTTGACATTTAATTTACCCCACACCAGTCTGAGGTTGAGATATTCTGCCCTATCCTATACTTGGAAAAATGAGGCTCAGAGAGGTTAATCTGTAGGAGGAGCCACAGCCAGAAAGTGGTAACTCCAGGATCCTGACTCAAGGCAGCCTGGCTCCAAGCCTGTTTTCTTTTCTCTTTTTTTTTTTTTTTTGAGATGGAGTCTTGCTTTGTCAACTGGGCTGGAGTGCAGTGGCGCGATTTTGGCTTACTGCAACCTCCGCCTCCCGGATTCAAGCAATTCTCCGGCCTCAGCCTCCCGAGTAGCTGGGATTACAGGTGCCCATCTCCTTGCCCAGCTAATTTTTCTATTTTTAGTAGAGACGGGGTTTCGCCATGTTAGCCAGGCTTGTCTCGAACTCCTGACCTCAGGTGATCTGCCTGCCTTGGCCTCCCAAAGTGCTGGGATTACAGGCGTGAGCCACCGCGCCCGGCCACCAAACCCATTTTCTTAAATGCCACACTCCAGGCTGCTCATGGAGTCTTGTGAGTGAGATGAGGATATTCCAGATGTCCACAGTCTGCAGTCCACCTTTCCCATCATCTTGAGCATCCTGTCTTCTCCCCTCCTCTTTTGGCAATTAAGCCCAAATGCTAACACAAGTTAAGCAAGCCCATCATAGCCACAGTGCGGTATGTGCCCTGACCTTAATGCTGCCCCTTCAGGCCTGATTGATTTTACTTAAATCTATAACTCCTTGGACTGAATAGCAAAGGAGCGAGGAAATGATCTGCTGAATAATTCTTAAAGAGAGAGTAAGGGAGGGGGAAAGAGAGGATGAATACCAACTTGCTCGTGAGCATTTAAATTGAGCAACTCGGTGTCCAATTCTCTTCTCAGTGAAGGTCACAGTATGTATTAGGATATTGATGAGGATAAATTATTCAGGCTGGCTAAGAAATATTTGTCTCCAAATGGGGATTAGGGCTAGTTGAATTAAAATTCCCACTTCTCAAGAGGTAAAGCCTTAATCAGAAAAATCGTATTTTTCATAGTCAAGATCCTATTTTTAAAAATCTGCTTCCAAAACTTAGTCCAGAGATGGCACTTCATTTTAGTCCCATCCCTATGACTTAGTGTGGTGACCTGCCTAGATCCCCACTGATTCTTGAAAGTATATGAGAGAAGTATAGAGAAAAATGGGGACAGGGGGCCCCAAGAAAAGTATGTATGCTCCAAAGAGTGCCAACCGTTAAAGAGAAGCAGGTTCCAGACCCAGCCAGATGGCAATGACCTTTAACAAGGGGCCTTACTTGTCTGAGCTATCTCATCTGTGAAACAGAATAATCCCCTTCCCATTCCCACCACACCAGGATCTGGAGGGAATAAATGATATTAAAAGCAAACAAACGTAAATGCTCTGAGTGTTTAGCAGAGAGTGCTACAGAAGTGTAAGATGCTGTGGACAGCATGAGACAGCGGAAGGAATCCAAGGCTGGAAGGCAGGTGCCCAGGGTTCATAGTCCTGGCACTGCCACCAGCAGGGCCTTTTGTTGGTCCCAGCTTCCTTTCATTGGAAAAGGGGCATGGGATGACCTAAGATCCTATGATGATTTGGATTGCTGTTGTCTCTGCCTCTTATCTTTCACTCACCGCTATGCCGTCCAGTTATCCTTCTTCAGGCGAGGACTGTTCTTGCCCTAATTAGTGCTCAGGAGAGGAATCAGTGGTCTGGCCACTTCCCGAGGCCGGGACTCCTGTCAGCTGTGCTCCACCCAGCAGCCTTCAGCCCCATGCAGCCTGCACCTTCACTAACTCTGCAGGTGAGAAGCCTTTGCCTGGGAAACATCACTGCTCCCAGGTCCTCAGAAGGCTGACTCAGCAACTTGGCAGGGTCTGAAGGGCTACAGGATAGGCAGAATGGAAAACAGTGGCCATCCGAGATACCCATATTCTGCCAGCTCAGGGACCCTGATTAAGACGACCGCTTGGCCCTAATTCTCAGCCAATAAAAAGTTGTTAAAATCCACTACCCACTCAAGGCCTCCAAAACAGGCAGACCATGTCCTTTGGATCTGGCTGTTCAACCCATACCAGGCAAGGTGACAGCACCTGTGCCTTTGTCCTTGCGGAGTCAGGAGGGCCAAGGAGTGGTGCTGAGCTCAGCACTAAACAGCAGACTGCCAGAAAGATCCTGTACTCCTTTTCTATGGGAGAAGCCAGTAGCAGAGGCCTCAGAACCCAAGCTCCCCCAGTCAGATTGGCTTAGACCTACCCCGAGCCCTCCGGGCCCCGTTGCGGAACCTCTGCAGGATCTGGTGCTTTTTGGAGACCGAGCGGCTCTTCGGGAGCCTGCAGAAGAGCCGCTGGAGCTGAGCAGTGACTGTCCCAAAGCAGGCAGCGGTTGCCTTCTCCTCCTGGCCCTCGGTCATCTCAGCGCCAGAGATCAATAGCTTTTCTCCAGGCTTGGCGTCAGGGGTGGAGTGCCGGGTGGGGGAGGGCTCCGGGGAGGGCCCTGGGCCTCGCATGACCTGGACAGTCACCTGGACCCTCAGGCTCTGGTACCCTCAACGACTGACGATGCCTTCTGTCTCCGCACTGAGGTCCTTTCCCCTCCACCTCCCCCAGTGGAAAACTTTCTATTCCTGGGGCTTTTAGCTTGATAAGATAAAAATGCCCCCACCAAACAGGCTGCAGGGAAGAGCCTGCCCCGAGCCTCACTTCTCAGTCGCGCCTGTGAGTCTGAAAATCAATGTCTCCAAAGTTTCAGACGACAGAAGTGATCGGTTACCTCACACCACGTGCCCAGCCCAGGAGCTCGTTAATGGATTTCTTTGGGGATGGTGGATTACTAATGCTTCACCAGCTGTACAGGCTCCTAAGGGACAAACTGGGGCTA